>NC_000003.12:166432846-166584361 GCF_000001405.40 Homo sapiens
AATATATACACCGACTATGTGTCCACAAAAATAAAGAATAGAAAATTTAAAAAGAAGAAAAGAAAAAAGCAACTTTATAAAAGATTCATTCAGTATTCTGTTTTGAAAATAAAGTTTTATTTTAGCATATTTTTAGATTTACAGTATAGTTGTGTAGATAATGTTGGAGAGTTGTCAGATACCCTACACCCAGTGTTCCATATTGCTACTGTCTTTCATGGTGCATTTGTCACAATTAATAGATCATTAATGATACATTATTTTAATTAAAATATACACTTTTTTATATTTCTTTCGTTTTTGCTTAATGTCTATATTCTGCTCCAGGATCTCATCTAGATTACATTTACTTACCATGCATTCTTAGGTTCCTTTCACTATAACAGGTTTTTAGATTCTTATTATTTTTGATGACTGTGACAGTTTTGAGAAACACTAGTCAGATATTTTATAGAATGTCCTTTAATTTGAGGTTGTCTGATTTTTTTTTTCTCACGGTTAGTTATGGGTTCTAGAGAGGAAAAGCACAGAGGTAAAGGAAGATTTTATCTCATCATATCAAGGATCCAGCCTGTCAATATGCCACTGTTATTGTTGGTGTTAATCTTGAGCATGTGACTGAGGTAGGGTCTTTCAGATTTTTCCACGGTGAAGTTACTCTTTTTTCCCACTTTTCATATTTCTTTTTTTTGGAAGAAAGTCACTATGCTCAGTCCTTTCTTAAGGCACTATGAATTATCTCCACCTCCTTAAGAAAATCACCCCAATTTTAGATTTCTCAGAACTGTGATAAATATGTTTCTCTTGGTTAAGCCACCAAGCCTGCAGTATTTTGTTATGGCAGCACAGACTAGTTCACTTATATCTATGTGTGCTTATATCTATAAATACAGGTAAATAGTATATAAATATAGGTATGTACCTGTATCTATATTTGTATATTAATCCATCTAATATTGTGAATGATATTGTTATAAAGAATACATGATGGTATGTGTTTGTTAAAACTTATAGAACTTTACAGCACAGAACCTTACAATGCATAATGTAAACAAATTAAATAAGTATGATTAGTAAGTTGGAGGATTGCAGAATGGAATATAGTCTGTGAAAAAAACAACTGCCTTCCAAACGTGAGTTCATAAAGATATCTGCAAGTCTAATTCAGTACCACTTTGATTATTCTAGCCCTCTCTCCTTTCTTATGTGTAACTTTCCACTCCAGCAGTGAGAAACTTGGCTCCTACTGTCGACCTTCCATTTACCAAATTGTTCAATTCCACATAGAATGGTTTCAGAATTATTAACTGCTAACCCTATGAGAAATAAATTTATATGCTACAGTGGATTACTTACATGCAGTTTTTCTTTATTTTATATGTTTGGAAGGCAGTTGTTGCTTTTTTTTTTTCACAGACTATATTCCATCCTGCAATCCTCCAATTTACTAATCGTACTTATTTAATTTGTTTACATTATGCATTGTAAAGTTCTGTGCTGTAAAGTTCTATAAGTTTTAACAAAACACATACCACATGTATTCTTTATAACAATATCATTCACAACTGTTTCATGGCCCTAAAAATCCCGTGTTACATTAGATACAGCAATATAAGAGCCTTTTGCCACCCTAAAAATATTACCTGTATTTCACCTATTTAGCCCTCTTCCCTCCACAAACCTCTGATAGTCTTACTTGTTTGCTGTTTGTATAGTTTTGCCTTTTCAAGAATGTGTTTTAGAAATGGAATCATAGAGTATTAAAATCTTTTTTATACTTCTTTCCACTTTATAAATTATCCTCTTAAGTCTATGATAATTCCTTTTTATACTCTCCTTACACTCTTTGCATCTGTCCCATTTTTATATCGATTCTACCAAAATTTCCTCTTTAATATTTTTATTTTTCTCTTGGTAAATATTTTTCTATCATCACTGTTAAGATACTTTCTAAAGTAATACTTTGAGCTCAAATTCACACTCACTTTTTTTTCCTGGAATTTTTAACCTCTTGTTCAGCAACTCAGCTTCTATGTCTTTAAATTTAACATACCTAAATTGGAACTAAATATATTCTTGCCAAATTCTTTGCCCAAAAACTATAGCAGTGCTTCCTCTGGCTTTCTTACTGATTAGTTTCTTTCTCTCAAAGTATTAAATGTATAAATAATACTACCTAACTTGAGTCAGCAGGAGAATAAACATAATTAAGTGGTTTACTAACCTTCTAAAATGGCATTAAAATATTTCTGCGGCCGGGGGTGGTGGCTCACGCCTGTAATCCCAGCAGTTTGGGAGGCCGAGGCGGATCACGAGGTCAGGAGATCCAGACCATCCTGGCTAACACCGTGAAACCCCGTCTCTACTAAAAATACAAAAAATTAGCCGGGCGTGGTGACGGGCGCCTGTAGTCCCAGCTACTTGGGCGCCTGAGGCAGGAGAATGGCGGGAACCAGGGAGGCGGAGCTTGCAGTGAGCCGAGATCGCGCCACTGCACTCCAGCCTGGACGACAGAGCAAGACTCCGTCTCAAAAAAAAAAAATATTTCTGCAACTGCATTTGTATGTTTTTTATTATGTCCTTAAAATGGTTAGAAATACTATTTTAGAGATATCTCCGAAGAGTTTTCCTCTACCTCATAACGGAAATGTAGAAGTAAGTATTACTCGAAGTTATGCACATTGAGACAATTACTATGCTTGTTGTGAGGAAGGAGGAAAGGATATGAGAACAGCATTAACAAGTACCTATAATGTAGGCCCATCTCTATATTAACACTGTTCTGAAATAATCCGTGCATTAGAGATGTTTTCTTGATACTGCTCAGCAAGAAAGATTGCTTTAGTGTCATGACATTCTGATTGGATGGCAGGGACTCTTACAGAATCCTGAAAAAAAAAACACATATAATTGAATAAACTATGTGATGTCTCAATTTAAATTATTTCTCAGCTGTAGAAAATGTAGCCCCCACTGTAGCAAGTGGGCACTAATGTCAGCAATGTATTAGGTTTTGGTTTAAACCAATTGATTTCATGCCTTTCTATATATTCTGCATAATACTCAAACACTTTGGTGACTCACTAGTGTTTCTCAACAGTTCCATTAGCTCTGAAATAACTACATCAATTTTCTTCCCATTTTTCTTTCCACAATTATTCTTCTCTAAACATGGATACTCTATGTATTTTCTACATTATTATACTACCTTCCTAATTGCTTAATGAATTGCATGGAATAAAATATCCTGATATTCACTTAATAAACATTCTAAAATGGGTAAATATTGTTGATCTCACTAATGTTTTTCATTATATATTTAACATGAAAATAAAATACAACCATTTTAAAATAAATATTATGCCCTCAAAAATGTCTTAAATGGAAATAACAAAAATAGTTTAGGTTATAAGTACTTACACAGCAATTTTGTTTTTTTACAAAGGTAGCTCAAGTGCCTTTTTCTGCTTTCAACATTTGTGTTAGAAAAAAATGAAAGGCAAGAGTTGTAACAATTGTAAATATTTCAGGATAGTTCAACTTTTTTGTTAACACTAATGTTTGTGTGTGTGTACACATATGTATGTATATATTAACACACATAATTACATATATGTAATATATGTGTGTATATATACACATGTGTGTAATGTAAAGCATTACATGCATATATATGCACAGAAATACATACATATATATATAATTTTTTAAGTTTATAGAATCCCTATAAGAATCCTTGTCATCCAATCAGATGTCATGACACTAAACCATTATAAGAAATAATCCGTAGATATGCAGATCATCAAAATATTAGAAGTGTGCTTTCTTTCTGATTATTTCTTGGTAAATTCAATTTCAGTGTACTTTGTCCCAATATGAATTATTTTTTCAGTGGGACTCTTTTTATAAATGATTTCACAGTCCTTGAACATTAGGCCTCACAGGATTTACTGCTTGATAAACAATTCTAAATCTTAAAACTTGCTGGAACAGAGTAGCTGAGTATAATGCTAAGAAAGAAAAACTAGTGTTTTAGAAAAGAAATGTAATACTGGATCTCTGATACAGGTAGATTGAATAATGCACATTTCAAATAAACTTGAACTTAATGTGCCAAACTTTTTAAGAGCTGACATGTATAATTGTTTCATTTTGAGAATAAAGATAAATTAATTGTGATAACTTATAATAATATGGAATATATATATACAAAAAAATCCCAAATACCAGTAGATATTTAAACATTCAAATAATCTTATTCTTAAGCCAAGTCACTATAAATGAATTATAATGCAAGAATGTGTATTAAATTGTTTTTACTCTTACCTTTATTTAAATCGATTAAGTTACTTTATATTTTTAATCTAGCTTTATAAAAGAAATTATTAGTAATACAATTGTTTTTATTCTTCTGAAATGTTAATGTTTAGTGAAATAACCATGTGATTAATTATTTTATAGCAGCACTTCACTTTTAATAGCAGATGTGTTCCAGAAAACATGTGTGCATATATAATTTTTAAAAATAGGACTACATTTTTAACATACATGGCATATTTCCTAGTCAAAAAATTATGGTATGACCAGTATTCTTCTAAAGCACAGAATGATTAAGAATCATGAACAATCTCTTAAACTTTAACCTTGCATGCATCCTCAAGTAACAGACCTTGAACTACTGGGTGAATTTCAAAGCATCACGTGTTCCTGCTGTCAATCCTCATTCTTCTAACACAGGATGCTAATTGAGGCAGCCCACATCAAGTCACTTCAGATTTTCTAAAACCATTTTTTGGCACAGTCATGGGAAAAGATTTTAGATGACATGTAACTACTTTCAGATATTTCTAAATTATTCATTTCAACATGTGTTTTGTGCACCTAATAGACGAAGGCCTAGCCTCAAGGGAAACAGCAGAAGTTGTAACATTTTCTGGTCTCCTGAGGTCAAAGTGTAAATTGTTTTCCCAAAGGTGGAAGTAAAGAGTTTCATTGGGTTCCCTGACCAAATTGTGGTTATTCAATGAATATTTTGAAAATGGGAATTTTATTATATGAAAGTTTTCTCAGAAGGATAAAAATATTTTTCATTTTAGTAATTAAAATAGCATTTTATTAACATAAGGCAAGACAAATAGACTAAGGGGAATAATAAATAATTGAGAAACACAAAAATCTATACAAGAAACTTGATATACAACAGTTATAAATCAGTAGGGCAGGGTTTCTGCGACAAGTAGCCATTTGAGGAAAAGGATAAAAGTATTTATCTATTTATTACATACAAAAAATAAATTTCAGGTGGATTAACATCCATATATGACAACCAAAACCTTACAATGTTTAGAAAAAGTATAGTAGAATATGTTCATATCACTAAAATTACTGGCCATTAGGACATAGATGATTAAATTTAATGATATAAAAATGTAAAACTTGCATCTGACAAAGATGCTATTTATAAACTTAAAATACAGGCCAAAATTGGGAAAGATTTTTGAAATACATGTAACTAACAGAGGACTATTATCCAGAATATATAAAGAGTCCTTGCAAAGGAAAAGAAAAATATTTATAGAAGCAATACCTAAAAAGCAACAAACGCATGAAAAAACGTTCAATCTCATTTGAATTCAAGAAAATAAAATTAAAAGGCAATGAGATATTATTTCATTACCATCAAACTGACAAAAATTTGAAAGGATAATTTTAAATGATAGCCAGGTGTTGGAGGAAATAATATTTCAAACACTGCCAGCAAAGATGTAACTTGGTATAAATGATTTGAAAACAAGCTATACTATGTTTATTTAAACTGAATATAACCTATAACCTAGAAACCTGCAATTTCAGGTATATACCCCTAGATAAATATTTGTAGACATGCCCACAGAAACATATTCAAGGAATGTTTTTCCCAGTATTTTTTTGTAGTGCTGAATATTTGGAAACAACTTACATTTTATATAGAAATATGTTTGCCATTTTTGCACCAGATTTTTTTAAGAAACAAAAAGTTACAAAATAAGTTGAAAAAATATTTTTTAAAGAACCCCCAGAAAGTTTAACAAACATCGTCCTTTCAGAATATGAGTTAGTAAAAACTTTGAGAATAGCCTCAGAGAGAGGCCAAACCAACAGCTATATAGGAACATTTAGGCAGTACATGGGTGCTGATAGGTACAACATGGAATTTTATTCCTAGAGGACTGTTTCTTTTGCTACTTTGTTAGTAAAAGACAGTCTTTTACCTATATTTCATATGTTTCAGGAGACTGACTCCGAAGAGAAGACTCTGACTTCTCTGTGATAAAATTTAAGTTTAAAAGAGATGATATGATAGATTTTTGAGGAGGGATTTATTATGGTTAGAGAGAAATCACACAGCCTTGTCCATCAGATAGTAAGGTTACAAATGCAGAGATTAAGGCTGAAGCACATAGTGTATGTGGGTTTGTTACAGTAGGTTTGAAGTATTCTATAGAATATTTCAAAACCATGTAACAGAACTTTATGGTTTTATAATAGAACTTTATAATTGAATAATACTTAATCTGGAAAAAATATATAATTTATTGGTTCATATATATTTTTAAATAGTATCTGCAAGAAACAGTTGCCTGTTTTACAATTAAGACACAGCAAAGTTTATTTCAGGTAAGAAGTGACTGTAGTTGGCAAAGAGTAATGGGTCTACTTTCTTCCTATCTACTGATGTGCTGTCTCTTTACAGAATTCCTCCTGGTCAGTGTTGGGGCTCTTGCACTGATTCTCTATTTGTCTTTTTCTTCCCACTCTCCCTACTTTTATTTTTGCTTTTTAACCTTTGTAGGTTTGTCCTACTTCTGGAAGATTTTTTTTCTACTTTTATGTTAGATTTTGATGGAGCTGAAATATTTTTAATTTTTAAGTCTTCCCCTTTCTTTTCCATTCCCATTTATTGTGGTCTATTCTTATTTTTTGAACACACTATCTCTTGTTTTCTCTTTGAGAATAAAAATTGTAGACTTTTAAAATATTCTTTTATCTCAATATTGCCCCTTTCTTTCACATTCTTTTTTCATTCTATTGGTTTCTTTTTGCTTTCATTTTTAACTTAATTCCCATTCTTGTTAAATAATGAATTTCACTCTAGCATGATCAAGTGACAAGTTGCTTTTTACTAGCCCTCCTCCATAACTAGTAATTCACCCAGGAATTACTCTATTCCTATCCTTATCTTTAGAAAGCCAACTTTTGGTAAAGTACTTGGGGAGTAAAATCCTTTGCTGCTATTGGTGGGAAATCTGGGGAAAGTAAAGGACTTTAAGTTAAAAGTTTCTCACTTTTTGTTTACTTTAAGTCTAGTGATTCTGCTTACATTTTCCAAAAAATAAATGTCCTACACTGAGAAAGGGAGAAGAGAATTTGCAGGTATTGTGGAGCTAGATTGAGAACCTGGGGTTTTAATACCTTCTGGAGTAAATTTGGTTTGAGACCTTCTGTTTTATCTACATGTGTACCCACAATTTTCTGTGTCTCCTCTTGCCTTCAACTTGTGAATCTTTCCAAGATTTTGACAAGCAAATCAATTTACCTATTTTTGGTATCTCCATTTGTATGCATTTTATTTTCAGCCTCTTAGACTTGCTTAAAGCAGTTATCACTTTAGAAATTGCTTTTCCTCTTCTAAAAGTTTACCAATTTATTTTGCTGTTGCTGTCTACCCTGTTTCCTTAACTCTGGAGGTTTTCTTTATTCATTTTTTTTTATTTTGTTATTGACACTTCAGTGGGGTTTTGGCAGGGGAAGGAAATAAGTGTACGGTAACAATCCACTGGGTTTTTAAATTTCTCTTCATTTCATTCATTCTTTTCTGCATTATCACACTTTGCTATTTATTATTTCTCTTTTTTGTTGGAGTCAGAGAAATATATATTTTTCATTAAAATTAATGTATGTATTTATATAGTCAATTTTTATTTTTAGGTTCTACTATTTTTATTTAATTTTTAAATTAAAAATAATATTGGATATATTTATGAGGTACAACATGATATTTTGATATAGGTATACACTATGGAATGGCTAAATCACGCTAATAAACATATTCATTACTTCACATAATTTATTGTGTGAACACTTAAAATCTACTCTCTTAGTGGTTTTCAAGAACAATGCCTTGTTATTAACTATAGTCACTGTATTATACAACAGTGCTCTTTAACTTATTTTTTTAGCTTAAAATTGTGTGTTATCTAAGCAACATCTCTCCAGTCTACTCTTTTAGTCCCTGTTAACTACCATTCTACTCTTTGTTATTGAGTTTGCCTTTTTCAGATTCCACATATAAGTGAAATCATGAGGTATTTCTATTTTTGTGTCTGGCTTATTTCACTTAACATAAAGTCCTCCAGTACTTCCTTCTTTTTTAAGACTGAATAGTATTCTACTGTGTATATATACCACATTTTTTAGATCCATTCATCCATTAATGCATGCTTTGGTTGATTTCATATGTTGGCTATTGTGAATAATGAATGCTACAGTAAACATGAGCATGCAGATATCTCTGACATACTGATTTCTCTCAGATGTATACCAAGTGGAATTGCTAGATCTATAATTTTTGAGGAACCCTGCACTGTTTTCTGATAAGAAAATGGAAACTTGTACACTGTCCAGTGAATGTAAATTAGCCAATTTTAAAAAATGAACCATCTGCCTTGTACCCTGTGTTCCCCTTCCCTTTCCTTCAAAGGAACAATTTTAACTAATTATTTGTATTTAATTCCAGACCACTTAATGATATGCTTGTATTCCTATTTGATAACATATATGTACATAATGCATGCATAGTTCTGTATAATTTATATATGTGTATATAATGTATGTATGTACATGTGTTTATATATATTATACATGTATATAGGTGTGTGTATTTGTCTGTGTCTATGTGTGTGTGATTTTAAGCATTATCCATTGACTTTTCAATAGTAATAATGAGGATGTTGCTTTCCTTCTCCTATTCTTACTACACATTCTCATCTTTCTCTTTTGCTTTTTACCCTTAAAGAAATACATTAAAATGTGCATTAGATAGATGGAGGTACTCAGTGTTTACACTATTTTGATATTGTAAGTTCTAGTCACAACTGTGAAGCCCAATTAATTTTGATTTTTATATTATTTCATGCACAAATTTGTGTTATTTCTAGAGTTAAAAATAGGCTGCTTTTGATCTTCAATTTTGCTGTCATTAATTGCAAAATAATCCCATGGCAACGCTTTAAATCTGTACATTTCTTTGGGGCATCTCTCAATTTAATTCTAATAGATAATTTCCTCTTGTAGTCTTCTATATTTCACTATTCTGAATTGGTTGTTCCCTATACCTGTTACCTAACCGCCACATTTTGTATATCCTTTCCCCATGGCCCAAGGAATCCCCTTTGCTGTCTCTTATTTTAGTTTCTTTGTTTTGTGTATTCTGTCTTTCTCTCCCTGGTTTACTCATCATTTCAGTACAATGTCACATACTGAAAAAAGTGAATAGTAATTATTTATGAAGACTTTTAACTAGTGCTCTTATTCAAACTTTACCCTAAATATATAGTTGGAATGGGCATACATTGTATGCATCAGTAAGGAAATCTCCTTAATTTAAGCTTTTGAAGGCATCGCTCCATTTTCTTCTTCCTGTCAGTGCTGCTGTTGAATCATCTGAAGACTTTAGGATTTCTGATTCTTTTTTGTTTTTCTCACTCTGAAAACTTGTTGGATCTTCTGTTTTTCCCCAGTGTTCTCAGCATTCATATGGACACTCAATATAAGGTTCTGTACTCTACCCTCACCCTCTGTTGTGTCTCCTGTGTCCCAGTCATTAGACGTTGTGATCTTGAGAAAAAACATTGTCTCTTTTTTTTTTTTGAGATGGGTTCTCACTCTGTCACCCAGGTTTCTTGAGTGCAAACTCTGCTCACTGCAACATCCCCCTCCCAGGCTCAAGCAGTCCTCCCACCTCAGCCTCCTGAGTAGGTGGGACCACAGCATGCACCACCATGCCCAGTTAATTTTTTGTGTATTTGGTAGAGAAGGGGTTTCACCCCGTTGCCCAGGTTGGTCTCGAACTCCTGAGCTCAAATGATCCACCTGCCTCAGCCTCCCAAATTGCTGGGATTTCAGGTGTGAGCCACCACGCCTGGCCAAAATTTTAATTCTTTTCTGGGTGGAGCAGTTGAGTGACTGATTTGAAAGTAGGAACATATTTGGAAGTCTGTCTTTCAAAAAAATGGACAAGAAAATAATCTTGTCATTTAAGTTTCCTATTTACCTCCCCTTCCAGAGTATCTGTTGCAGCCATTTCCTGAACACGGTTGGAATTGCATAGTACAAATGGAGTTAGGCTTGAGCTTCCTCATTGTCAGCTTAGGCTTTAGGCCTCACAAACCTTCTCCTCCCACAAGAGATCCCTTAAGTGTTTTGCTGCTCACATATGTTTTTTTAATTTACATAATTTTATTGCTACATTTTTGTTCTGCTCATCTTTATGGTTGTATGTTTAATGTCCAACCAAACCAATCAAACAAAAACAAACAAAACATAATTTAAAAAATACAAAATAAATAATAATAATAAGCAATAACACAATCAGAAGGGAGACAAATATGTGTGTGCTGTACTCTGCCTTTTCACATGCAATTTTTATCTTTGAAATTTAGCAGTTTTTACAGAATATGTCTCAATAATTAATCGCCATTTTGTTAATTTTTCCTGGTAAAAGTTAATCCTGAGATTCAGGCTGTTGAGTTCAAGTAAATTTCTCCTTTTATATCATTAGAGATTACCTCTGTTTCATCAGTATTGTCCTATTTTTCTCAGGGTGATGGAGATGTAGCTTAGATATTGAGTCTTCATTAGTATGTTAAATTTTTTGAGAGGAAAAATATGTATCATTATTTAGTTATTGCCAGTGTGTCCTAATCAATTGTTCTTTGCAGAATTCACTATAAGATGTTGAAATGTTTAATAATCCTCAGAGTGAGGTAACTATGCTGAAAATTTCTTTAATCCTAGTGTAAAACATTGGGCTATGGCAATAACTTCATGAAGCATGATACTTGTGATAGCGGCAGGAGGCAGAAAAATTCCTCAGCAGAGAGGGGCGGGTCCCTGGTGAAACCCACCTTCAGACTGGAGAGAGCTGAAAGTCTGAAATCTGGGCTGCCAGTTCCTGGTGGAGTACACTGCCTGGAGTGAGAACTTCTTTGATGCAGTTTGGCCAATCTAATGATACTTTTTCCAGATCCGTCCATGGACCAATAAGCAAGCACTTGCTCCCACCCTGGACCAGTCAGCACACAGTTCTTCCATTCTAAGCCTATAAAAACCCCAGACTCAGCTGGACTCAGAGACACTTTTGAACTACCTGCCTGCAGATAAGAGCTACCCACTTCAGGTCTACTCTCTGCTGAGAGCTGTTGTGTGACTCTATAAAGCTTTTCTCTGCTTTGGTCACCCTCCAGTTGTCTGCATTATTGCATTGTTCTTGGACTCCAGACAGGAACTCAGGACCTGCTGAATTGCAGGCACAAAAAGGGCTGTAACATGTTCCTGGCCAGCTCACTGAGCTGCAAGCAGTGACACGCTCTTGTTCATCAGACCGTGGGAGTAAACAGCACAACCCTTCTGGGACCTCAGATTTCAGTATTCCCCAAGCCAGAGCCGTAACTCTGTAGCCTTCTCACCCTCTGCTGGCATTGGGCAGCTGCCTCTTGGGATGGGAAGCAGTGGCAGGGCTGGGCCTGCCCAGGAGCTGCAGACCAGAGTGGCTGACCAAGCTGTAATACAAATGGGCTGAAACAGGCACCGTCCCATGTTTGCTGTGCCATGGGCAGCTGGACTGAGAGAGTGGTAACTCATCCTCCACCCCTTGGGGCCCTGTGGTGGCTGGCATCTCTAAGTTTTCAGATGCCACCTTGTTCCCCTTGTTCAGATGCTGGCGCCTGCAGCAGAAGCTGTTGTGGTACGCCCAGTCCAGCTGCAGCCTTCCATGCAGCTGGCACCTGAGCCAGCACCTGGAGCTACCCGTTCTGCCACAGCAGCCAGCGCACCTGGCTGTGAGCAGTGGCTGGACCCTGTGCTCACTTGCTTACACATCCCTCACTACTCCGCACCTGGCTCACCCTCAGTGGACGTGGGATCTAAGCCAATAGCGTGAAGCAAGCACAGCCTGTCGGATGAGTGTTTGGAAACAAGCCCAGTGGGTGCAAGTGAAATTCAGCCAGAGGTGCTGCTGGCCACAGAGTTTGCCGCTGGTGAAGCAACAGCCAAAGCATCCAGTGACACTTGCATACATTTTGGATAAAGTATTCAAAACTATGTAGGAACTCCAGTTTAGGGGAGTAATTATTTAATAATTTAATAAGTGATATTTGGCTGAGTATTTTTAAGGATAGAAGAGTAAGTTACCATCATTTTGGCCTAAGAACAAATGAGACTTCTATTTGTTAAAATATGGATCAAGGGATCTTAGGAGGATTATTTGCTTGTTTATAAGCTGATTGTTCACATATCTTTTCTTACCTGCCTTCAATGTCTCGTCAGTGTTTGATTTGAATTTTGCTACATTAAACTAGCCTAGATAACATTTTCCTGTTTATATTAAAGTTCTCCTGGTATAGACAAATTTGATTGATTGATAAATATAGATAAATCTCATGTCTAGAGAGAGAGAGACAAGAGAGAAGGTTTACTTTAAGGGCCAAATAAACCACCTTTGACTCATGCAATTGAGGGGGCATGCAAGTTAGAATCAGGCCAGTAAACTAGAAATTCTGCCAAGAGTTAATATTGCAGTCTCCAGTCTGAACCCTGGAAACTTAGGCAGAATTTCTATTTTTGACTCAACAGAGAATTCCTTTCTTAACAGGGACCTAGATTTGTTTTTAAGGCTTTCCGTTGTTTGGATGAGGACCACCACATTGTGGAAGTAATCTGCTTTACTCAACATCTACCAATTTAAATGTTAATTACTTCAAAAAATACTTTCCCCACAACATCTAGCTGGGTATTTTACAAAACAATTTGGCACCACAGCCTAGGCAAGTTGACACCTAAAATTAACCATCACATTGTTTCAGTTGAGAAATCAATAAGTACTTTCAAACAGAAAAATGAAAATAAATGCACAGTCATGCATTGCTTAATGATGAGAAATGTGTTGTTAAGCAATTTTGTCATTAGGCAAATATAGATTTTACTTACACAAACCTAGATGGTATAGCCTATGACACACTTAGGCTATATCTTACAGCCTTTTGTTCCTAGGCTACCAAACTGTACAGTAAGTTACTCAACTGTATACTGTAGGCAACTGTAACACAATGGCAAGTATTGGTATATCTAAACATAGAGAAGGCATAGTGAAAATAGAGAATATGGCAGGCGTAGTGGTGTGTGCCTATAATCCCAGCCACTCTGGAGGTTGAGGTGGGAGTATTTCTTGAGCCCAGGAATTTGAAACAATCCTGGGAAGCAGCAAGACACTATCTCAAATAAAAAATAAAATAATTTAAAAATACAGTATAAAATAAAAAAAAATGGTACACCTTTATAAAGACTTACCAAGAATGGAGCTTGCAGGCCTGGAAGTTCCACTGGGTGAGTCACTGGGTGAGTGGTGAGTGAATGTGAAGGCCTGAGACATTTCTCTACACTACTCTAGACTTTATAAACATTGTATAATTAGGCTACATTAAATTCTTTTTAGAAATTTTCTTTCTTGAATAAATTAATCTGAGCTTACTGTAACTTTTTTATTTTATAAACTTTTTAATTCCTTTCAATTCTTTAACTCTTGTGTAACCACACTTAGCTTAAAACACAAACACGTTGTACAGCTGTATAAACATATTTTCTTTCTTTATATCCCTATTCCATAAGCTTTTCCTGTTTTTAACATTTTTAACATTTTCAACTTTTTGTTAAAAACTAAGACACAAACACACACATTAGCCTAGGCCCATGCAGTACCACAATTATCAATATCGCTGTCTTTCACATCCGTATCTTGTGTCACTGGAAGGTCTTCAGGGGGCGTAACACAAATGGAGCTGTTGCAAGTACCTCTTCTACAGTTACTTTTTTTTTAAAATAAGTAGAAGGAATACACTCTAATATAATGATAAAAAGTACAGTATAAAAATATATAAACCAGTAACATGACCATTTATTATCGTTATCCAGTAATGTACTGAAGTTAACTATATACTTTCTTTTCTAAACTGGCAGTGCAGTAGGTTTGTTTACACCAGCAACGCCACAAACTCGAGTCATGCCTTACACTAAAATGTTACAATGTCTACAGTGTAACTAGGCCATAGGAATTTTTCAGCACAATTATTATCTTATGGGACCACTGCCATGTATGTGCTCAGTAGTGCACCAAAATGTCATTATGCTCTAGTCTTTCATGCACATATTTTTCTGTAGAAAGTAGTTGAAGAGATTAAGCATATCAAAAATTGATCCCTTAAATTAATATTCAGTTGTGAAAAGCTAGTCCAACATATTTTAATACTGCCTTAGAATTAATTAAAAAAAATCTATCAGAATGCCAAATTGTTTTCAAACATTTTACCAGATAAGTTAAATTTACATTATTAATTAAGTTCTCAGATATGATTTGTTTAGATGGGGACTAATATTTATTCCTGTAACTTTTGTTTTGTTATCAAAGGTTCTGGAATAATGTGTTTGATTCTATTTTTCTCACATTCAAAGCCCCATATTATATGGAGAACGAGTCTCTCTATTTTTTCTTTTTTTTCTTTTTAACTGATAGGCCTAGGGAAAAGCCTTTTTAAGTTACCCAGTTTTTTAAAATGGCTTTGATCCTTGCTTATCTTCTCTTTGCTTAGTTGTTTTATAATATGTCATCATGTGTGAACTTTGTCCAATATTTAATTTTGTATCATCGGCAGCTACTCATAAATTATAAACCCAATTATCATTGCTGTCAGTGGTGGCTGATTTACCTTACGATAACAAAAACAATAATAAAATAAAATAAAAAATTTAACATACAATTTGGAGAATATTTATAGAATACTAACTGAAATCAACTTTGCAATTACTGTTTGCCTTTATTCTCTTAGACTGACTTATATATTTATGACTAATTTTCACCAAATTTTATTTCTTAGAAAATGTTTTAATCCTACTAAAAATGTAATCCAGTATACTTTAAGAAAATCTATGCCAAATGTTCTGTGAGATTAGCCAATCTTGTCATAGATACTTGTCAATGTTTTGTACACCAGAGTGAAATTTACTTCCTGACCCTAGCTATTCCTTAGGTAATACACAAAAACAACTGAATTGACAATCATAGTCACCTAAGATAATGGAAAAACAGTTGTTTGTCAAGTACTTTTTTAATGAATCTTGTATGACTAAGTAGCTTTATATTTGAAAGTTTTGCAAGTAAATTATTTTTATGTTGATGTATTTCTTTCTATTTGTATTTTGTAAATGCACAGTAGGTTCCAATTTATGTTGTCCTGGGTATTTTTTTTTCTAGTTTTGCGCAGAAACAAATAGAAATATAAAATTTAATTAATTATATGTATTTAAAAATAAAATATAATATTTTATTTCATTTTGTTTGCAACCCTCATCCAATAAAATGTAAATCATGATTTTAAACCTTTGGGCTGTAATAAACTTGTTGCCTTAATAGCCCTAGTCCTTTGCCTCTCCTGAATGTATACACTTTAAAATGGGACTTTGCAGTTCCTGTTATGAAGCACATAACATAATTACACACATCTTAATTCTGAGTTCAGCTATGTGACTTGCTTTTGCCTTTGATATCCTAGCATTTGTAGTATAAGAAAAAGCTAAAAAAGGACTGGTGCACTTTTGCCTTCAATGTGGAAACACAGCCAGGCTGGCCCACCAGAGAGAGGTGAGAGAAAAATGAAGTAGAGACAAGTTGTTCCAGGCAATAATCAGCTCACTTCTAGAGACATAATACCCCAGACAGCAGTCAGGTAATACCCAGACATGACGGAGAATCCATGTGAAACTCAGAAATTGCCCAGCTGAATTTTTCAGTCACAGACTCAAGACAAAACAAATTCTTATTGTTTTAAGCCATTGTGTTTTGGAATGGTTTGTTATGCTGCATTAATATGGCAGAGTGAATGATGGAGAAGCAAAGAATTGTATATATTTTTTTATTTCTCAGTTAATAACAATTGCTCTGTGTATTAGTCTGTTTTCATACTGCTATAAAGAACTGCCCAAGACTGGGTAATTTATAAAGGAAAGACATTTAACTTACAGTCCTCCAGGGCTCAGGAAACTTACAATCATGGCGAAAGGCAAAGGGAAAGCAAGGCATCTTATCACAAGATGGCAGGAAGAAGAAGTGCTGAACAGAGGGAGCAGAGTCCCTTATAAAACCATCAGATTTCATGAGAACTAACTCACTATCATGAGAACAACATGGAGAAGCTACAACTATGATTCAATTACCTCCTGCTGGTCTCTTCCTTGACACTTGGGGATTCTGGAGATTACAATTCAAGATGAGTTTTGGGGGGTAGTCAAAGGCTAACCATATGACTCTGTGTAACTTCTCTCACTTTTTTAAAGTATGTATATATTTGAGGATATATATGTTTATTTATTTTAAACAGTCCAATTCTTCTCACCCAAAGAAATGCAAATGTGTGTGTGTGTATATATATATATAATACATTATATATTATATATATATTATATATATATAACTCTTTGTTTTAATTACCACTATCTTTTCCAAATCTATTAGTTTCATTTTAAGTATATGTTGATTGTTGACTTTAAGTGTCACATAGAATCCCACAGTGCCAGTCATTTTCTATTTATCCATTGTTCTAGAAGTGGAAACTATGTGTTCTCCATATTTCTACAAACACAAAAGCAGCATAATGAAAATCTCCATGTATAGCCTTGTGGGAAAATGTATGTATCCAATTATCATTGCATAAATTTACTTTCTAAGAAGATCATTCCAGTTATATAATTTATCATTTTGTAATGTTTTTAATATGATGTTTTTTTCTCCCAGCTTTGTCAAGATTTAGGTAGTCTCTTAAACTAGAAAAGTGGTTTAATTTGTCTATTTGTTTAATGTAGAGACGTATGGCATGTATCACCTTCACCCTCTTTCACATAAATCCTAAATAATAACAAAACTATTTTAAATTATAATAAGGAAGATTTTGGTTGCCAGTCTTAGAAATTACTATCTTAAAACATACACCAAGATAATCATTTGGAGTTATCATATGTGGGGGTCTTCTCAAAAATTGAATTGCAATTATTTGTTTCAGAAAATTTGAATACATATGAGTATGAAAATAAAAGTTGGAGCAAATGGTCACTTGCTTGTTCGATCCAGCACTAGCATTCAGTGAAAATGAAACAACCTCAGAAGGGGAAATAACATCATGCCATATTTTTAAAAGAACAAATACATAAAACAGAAGTGGAAAATATTAAAATAGAAAAGACAAATCTGTGTAATCAAGCAAATAAAATCATCATAACTTTTCAGAAAACAGTCACAAAGAAAAATATATATTATACCTCTAATCTAGAGATGATTCAATATTTTGATATATAAGCTTTAAAATATATTCTTCTGCATAAGTCTTTTAGAAAAAATATTTAGATAAAATTTATAGTTAACAAAAAATGTTGAAAGATTATTCTCTTTGTTCAATGTTTCCCAACAAGGAAGCTATTGGTATTTTGGGTGGGACCATTCAATTCTTTGACTAGTCTTTCAGTCAATATACAGGATAATTTCCACCTTGGGTCCCCACAGCCAAATGCTTTAAAAAGGTAAGAACACCTTAGAATTCAGAATGTGTTCTATTTTGTCATTTTCCAGCTTACAAATAAACACCTCAGTGTGGCTCAGTAAATCTAATAGTGCATCAGTTCACAGTGTATAGCGATCACTAGCAATGGGGTTTGGCATCCTCTCACTGTGTAGGGCTCAGGAAGTTCTTGAGATGCCATCTTTGTTGTCTTTGTGCATTCAACTCTCATTGCGTGATTATAAATGGTATTGTCTGATGAATTGAGAAGCTTCATTAGATTAAAGAAAGTACAGAATGTAAACTTTTTTTGTGAAAGACTAAGTTCCCTAGAGTTACAGGAAAGATAAGCAGAAAGAAAATACAAAGTAAGGATTCATAAATCACATTCTAGACTTTAATTTTTTATTAATTTTCATGGTTTTCTGAATTCCTAAGTTGTCTCAACCATTATAGACTATTATTCTCTGCTCAATTTAGTGACATAGGGCTTACATAATGCTCTTTTCTATATCTTTATAAATGTATTACTATTTGAATGATTACTGTAAGCATGGATAAAATGCTATATTGCCCTCAATTTTAGATAGCAAAAAAATTGTACAGGGAAGACAGATACATCACAATTATCCTTAACTATTTAGTGGTTCACCTTCACAGTGATATGAAAAACAGTACACTTAAAGTAGTAATTCAACTGAGTACTTACCAAGAACTTATGTAATAAAACTGCTTTTAAAGAACTTAATGTCTTTAATGCTTTATCTAGATTTATGTGAAATAATTTAGAGAAAAATCTAATAATGAAACATTTAATTGAAAGCAGTAATATATTTTATTCCACATTCATCTATATATGCAAATACAAAGTTAAAAAAACTTTTTTAAGAAATATGAATCACTGGCCAGGCGCAGTGGCTCACGCCTGTAATCCCAGCACTTTGGGAGGCCGAGGCAGGCAGATCACGAGGTCAGGAGATCGAGACCACCCTGGCTAACGCGGTGAAACCCCGTCTGTACTAAAAATACAAAAAAATTAGCCAGGCATGGTGGCGGGCACCTGTAGTCCCAGCTACTCAGGAGGCTGAGGCAGGAGAATGGCGTGAACCCGGGAGGCGGAGCTTGCAATGAGCAGAGATCACGCCACTGCACTCCAGCCTGGGCGACAGAGCGAGACTCCATCTCAAAAAAGAAGAAAGAAAAAATATATATATATATACATATATATTAATCATTATCACACCTCTACCTCTTGCCTTTCCAAGCCTCCTTGTAGTTGGAGTATATTTCTCTGTCTCATAATAAGGCTTGGCCATATAACTTGGTTTGGCCATGATAATCAAAGAAGGCTTGACATATATGAAGAACTTTAAAATCTTTTGCATGATTTTCTTCAGCTTCTTGCTTATGCCCTCTACTATGAGAAAAAAAAATGACTCAGATAAGAGTTATGAAATCACCTTGGGCCCCAAAATGAGAAGATATGTGGAAAATAGCAAAACCATGGCAAGCAGAGACAAGCAGTGTTGTAGCTGACACATACATCCACGGGATAGAAATAAAAAAAAAACAAATGGTATTTATTTGTTCTTGTAAACCTCAGGGACTTAGGAGCTGTTTGTTACCAAAAAAAGTTGACAGAAATACTTGTTAATATATTGAAATGTATCAGATTCAGGGTTCATACCCACATTTGACAATTTTTTGTCAAAATTATTGATAACTGAGTTAAACCTGTAATTAAAAACTTTACTTGAAAACAGAGGTTTCGATGTTTTCAGGAGTTGTTTTACATAAATTCACTGAACACTCAGGCAAATAGGAATTGATATTAAATAAATTATTTTAGATGTTAAACACAAGGTTGATTTGTGGGTTTTGAAGTCCTTTAGAGAAACAATGTCATGGAAAGTTTTTAGAATTATTTTTTACTTTTTAATTCAAGTTTCACTTTTTAATTATAGACCCAATGTAGTGTAAATCTGACACCATCTTTCAAGCTTAATGATGACTACTTGGTTTTCATTTTCAAAATAAATTGATACTAAGTAGATATGTTTATTGAATATGGGCCATTCAAAGAGGTGATCAAGCTTGCAAAAGATTTATTATTTTAGATTATTTATATAATATCCTCATACCACAACTTTTCACAGTAGCAATTTATGCACTAGTACCATGTTGTGCTACAAAGCACTTTTCTTAAAAACAAATTTTAAATTCAATACAGCCCAATTTTACAATATTATCTGTAGACATTGTGCAAAAATTATATGTAGAAGAAAGGGTAATGCAAAAATAAAAACCATCTTGACTAGCTTACCCATTATCATTGCCCTTTATGAGATACTTTCTTCTTTGTGTCTACTTCTCTTCTAAAAACTATACCTGTAGATATATGATTATATATTAATCCCGAATGTTGAAACTATAATGTAAATAACAATCTAATATGTGCAAAATTTAGCACTTTTTGTATTTTGAATTCAGTAAAGTATTTACGTTATACATTACATCACTATAAATAAATTTTACTACAGTTCTTTATATACGAAGTAAACATACGTTATTCACAATTTGATGCTAACCTTTATATAACATCTTCTACATACAAAGCATTTGGCAAGAATTTGTGGAGCAGGGGATATATTGAAAGGTTAAAAGGGATAAAACACATTTAAAGGGATAATATGCATGAACAAATCCAAGATAATTTTGATCCATAAATATTAAATATTATATAATGCTTATCTCAATATTTCATCAAAACAAAATGCAATGGATTTTAAGATGTGCCATTATTTTTTGTACTTTTATATACTTCAGAAAAGAAAAAAATTGCTTGACATGAGCAAACTATATAGGAGAGTCCCCTTTGAGGGTAATCCACAAAAGGGTTATATATTAACCGTTGCTATGTATTAACCATTGTTTACATTTCCCTTTCCACAAAAGGGAAATGTAAACAAGACCTCAAACTACAAGAAAGGACAGCAAATAAACTAACAAGGCTCTACCTTGATACTTGGTGGAAGAGATAAAACTTTCCCAGATGATTTAAATCACTAGGCATTACCTTGCAAGGTTTGTATTCTGAATTCACACTGCTAGTGTGGTCCAAAAGCCTCAAGCAGAGAATTTAATGAAAGTTGTCTCAGGTTTATTTTGTCCCTAGGTGACTGGAAGAAGCAAATGTGAATCTTCTTGGTTCTCAGTGTATGCCAATGCAGGTTTGTAAAATGCCGTCCATAAGAAGATGCATTCCAACTTCAGAAATGTTAAATTGTATGACAACCATTCTTAAAATCTATTAAATATGTATTCTATAATGAAATCTGTACTTTATATAAACACCAAAAAATGCTATTGAATCATATTTTCATATTGGGGGCTGGAAAACCTTGAGAGAGAACAGTATTTAAATGTTAACAATGATAATGGCAATAATAATAATAACAAAAAAGTAGCAACAGCACAATAACTGTGTCCTTATGATGTGACATTTAATTTCCATGTATTTAGTTACTTGATGCTCACAACAGCCATTCTAAATAGTAATAATAATTTTCCCCTTTTCACAGATAAGTAAACAGAAAAGCCAGTACTTGAATCCAGCCAGTTTTTGTGAAAAGCCATATCTTAATTACTGTTTTAAGAATGAAGGATGTTTCAGCAAGCAGTAACCACATAGATGGCCATTCCAAACCAAGAGGACACAAAAGAGCATAGTTTGTTGTTGTTGTTGTTATTTTTAAGACATTTCTTAAAATGTCAAGGGGATTAGCATGGTTAGGACAAGAGAAATTAAGTACAATTAACTAGGTCATAATAGTGGCAAAATATATGGAGGCCAGAACATGTATTATTTTAATATTAAGATATATGAGATATATTATCTAATTATTGAGGATTCCTTAAAAGTCTTGGAGAAAAAATGTATCATACTGTGAATTGCAGTTTTAGACAACAACTGATATCAATGTGATACACTTCCTCAAAAAGATGACAGCAGCTAGATCATGTGCAAAGGAGTCCTTTATATAGAAGAAGTTAAAAGTCTTAACTAATATGTAACTCATCAACATATAGTGAAAACTTTTTACTATATTTTTGGAAGGAAGAGAGTGTTTCCAACTGAGTTAGTGAACAGGGAAGAAAAAAGTGTTTGACAAAAGAAATAATAAATCCAGTTGGAAACCTACTGAATTTGAAGTACTTGTGTAATTTTCATGTAATTTGGTTAGGGCATAGGTGGATTTCTGGGTTGAAGAGAGTCATGAGAATTGATGTCATTGACAGAAGAAAATATTTTAAAACATATGTATGTAATAGTTGATATAAAACTTATGTATGGACTTTTGCACATGTTTTAGAGTAGTCAATGGATTAAATAACCTTCAACTGATTTTCTTGCACTTTTTTCAAAGAGTGATATTTTTATTTATAGTGAAACAAATACATACAATGCCTTAAAAATGTTTTGCAATAAAATGTACACAACATAAAATGAACCATTTTAACCATTTTTAACTGTAAAATATAGTGACATTAAACATTCACAGTGTTGTGAAACCATCACCTCTGTCAATTTTTAAAACTTAAAGAACTTTTTTTAATACTTTTAAATTTCACATTCATTGTCTCCATCTTGGTAAAATCAGTCATAGTGTTACTGGAAAGGAGCCCCAATCCAAACCTCATGAGAGAGTTCTTGAACATCATGCAAGAAAGAATTTGGTGCAAGTCCATACATTGAAAACAACTTTATTAAGAAAGTAAAGGAATAAAAGAATGGCTACTCTGTAGGCAGAGCAGTGGGCTGGACTGCTTGACTAAGTACACCTATAGTTATTTCTTGATTACATGATAAACAAGGGGTGGATTATTTATGAATTTTCCAGGAAAGGGTGGTGAGGCAATTCCAAAACTGAGTGTTCCTCTCCTTTTTTAGACCATGTAGGGTAACTTCCTGACATTGCCATGGCATTTGTAAACTGTAATGGCACTGGTGGTAGTGTCTTTTAACATGCCAATGAGTTATAATTAGTGTATAATAAGCAGTGAGGACGACCAGAGATCACTTTTGTCATCATCTTGGTTTTGGTGAGTTTTGGCTGGCTTCTTTACTGCATCCTGTTTTATCAGCGAGATCTTTGTGATTTGTATCTGTGCTGACCTCCTATCTCGTCCTGTGACTAAGAATGCTTAACCTCTTGGGAATGCAGCCCAGTAGATCTCAGCCTCATTTTACTTAACCCCTATTCAAGATGGAGCCACTCTGGTTCAAATGCCTTTGACAATAGATCATTCTAAACCAGACAAAAGGAATGTTGGACAGAAAGACCAGGCTAATATAAAAGATTTTGTGTGTGGAATAGAGCACATTTTTGAAAACTTTGTGGTTAGTTATATATGAACAAAATTTAGGCAATTAATGGCTTAAGGAGAAAGTATAAGCAAGTGAGTACATAAATTAAAACTTTATTAATGACGTAGGATCTCAATAAAGGGTCTTTTCCCTAGGACTAAATGTAAATTATCAGCTTCATGGCTTCACTATTTGTAGTATACCTGTCACTCCATTTCCATAAAGCAAAATATAAACCAGATTATTATTTATTCTTGAAAAAACGTCTGTCCTTTGCCCCATTTTTTTATTAGCAGTCATGATGACAGAGTTCCATAGGACTAAGAGCTTTTGGCAACAATGCTTACCCTCTCTCCCACAAATTTCACACCTCAAATCATCTATGAGCCTTGAGGTCACCAAACATATCCTGTCAAATCCACAAGAAGTGCAGGATTCTAAGATCAGCTCAATAGCATTTCCAGAAGGCTTTGCATTCTTTTTCTGACCTACTCTCCAACGACTCATCTTCTATTGTTTATCTTCTCAACGTATCTCTCAATTTTTCCTTTTACTGTCTTCCTCTATCTTAAATCTAAATCTCTTTCAAAAATTCTACTTCCCCTATAGATTTCTCAAGTTGTAGAAGTTTTCTCTTATATCTTGGGATAGAAGTTGGGTTGGTATTTCTATTTGTTTCCTATCACCCCTGTTAGAACATTGTGCTTTCCGTCCTCCCCTAACTCTGGAGCTTCTGAAGCATATGTATTAGACAATGCCACTTGATAATGTTCTATGTTATAGTCATCTATAGATCTCTATGACTGTTTCTGATATTCCTTACAGATTTCAACTTTTGGGAAATTGTTACATTCTTATTGTAATTCTTGGTAATATCTGTTTTCACATAGTTGATCCCCCCCACCATATGACATGCACTTTGTTTTTTGAGCTAATCTCTCCTCTAGTGAACTTTTACTTTGACCTATCTCTGTAATCCACTATGAGAGCTATCTTTAATAAATATAATCTCAATTTAAAGCATCCCATACCTTGAAGAACATCTCCTATCTGTTCACAAAACTCCTTTTAGTGTTCCAACTTTAACACATTAACAACTCCAGCAGTACCTACAACTATTTCTGATAATAACTGGAAAGTTCCAGTATGGAGACCCATTGTCTATGGTCAGTGAGTTCTGGTTTGTTGTGTAGCTAGTTTTTTTCTTTTCTTTCTTTCTTTATTTTATTTTATTTTATTTTATTTTTTTGAGACAGAGTCTCACTCTGTTGCCCAGGCTGGAGTGCAGTCGCGCGATCTCAGCTCACTGCAGCCTCCGCCTCCCAGATTGAAGTGATTCTCCTGCCTCAGTCTCCCAAGTCTGTAGCTAGTTTTAATTTGTTGGTACCAATGTTCTACTAGTCATTATATTTTAAAAATGTGATCTGTGCCTTCAAGGCATTGATCCTATCACCCTTTCACTGATTTATTCACTTTCTGGTATTAACTTTTTCCTTGCTCAGCATATAAATTGTACGGCCAATTATTCTTATTCCTGTTTGTATATATTATGCATCCCTCGTCTCTCACTACCTATTTTATACTCTTTTGTATTATGCCAAATAAGCCAGTCTCTGTTTATTTCAGTGCTACACTTTTGCAGGTGGATAAGGGCACAGAAACAATTAATAGGCTTCCATTTAAATCATGAACAACAATCTCAGTTGAGACCTTATATATCCTACCCAGAAATCTAAGGTTGTTTATCTAGTTCATTCACTCCAATACCATTCTTACTCTAGATGATATTTTTATCCTATTTCTCTGAAAAACAGAAGCAATCGGAAGGCATCCTCCTTGAATTTCAACCATATCATTAACTCACTGCCTGACCTATATCATATATTTAGCTTTTGACCTTCCATGCTCTTAGCAAAGACAAATTCTTCTGCTTGTCTTTCTAACTCTATCTCTAACTACATTGACCCTGACCCTGACCTTAATTTCCTTTTATCTGTAATCCTAAATGTATCTGAATCTAGTTTGAACCTGTTAATTATCTCTCACCTAAATGAAGAAATTCAAACCAATATTCTTTCCTTCTCTTGCATTAGTAACATTATCTTTAAACTTGATTATTTCCATTAGGATATAAATATACTTGAACCTTCATATTTAAATAAAAACCATTTTAATAAAAATTTTATTTTAATACAAAACTTATATCTCCTTCTAGTTATCATCTCTTTTCTATGCTTTCCTATATAGCTCAACTCCAGACAAAGTTGACTGTACTTGCTTTCTGATTTTACTCTGTTATTTCCCCTTGATCCCATTTCAAATACTCTTTCAAATACCATTTTAAATATTTTCACTACCCATCCTACTGACCCTGCACATGACCTCAACATTGCTAAATCGAATAGCCGATGTTCATTTCTGATCCAGGTTAAAGTGGCAGTATTGACATAGGAAACACTCAGACTATTTCTCTACTACTGAATTTTTTTTTCCTTCCTCACTGGCCCTCCTCTTAGTCTTTCTGACTGGCTTCTCTTATTCTCTGTGTTTTCTAAATGTTTGTATGACCCAGTCTGACCTTTAGGTCTGCTTATTTTCCTCCACCTGATCCTTCTATTCCTCCTCCAATCTCCCACACTTTTCATTCCTGTTCTTCTACCCCATCTTTCCTTTCCATTACTTATTCTCCATGTACTTCCAGGTAATCTTATTGAGTTTCATTAATTTTTAAAAATCCATATGTTGACAGTTGACAGTATCCAAATATTCTTCTCCAAATAGTTTCTTGAACTCCAGAATCATAATAATTGTATTCTTAGCATTTCTACATTAGTTTAATATGTTTAAAAGAGAACTTCTAGTCCTTCTATATGAAATATATAACTCTTTTAAAGTTTTCTTTCATTTTAGCCTGATAACTACTTGTGCTAAAATATTTAAGGCATTTTTAACATTACTATTTCTCTCATACCCCATTCAACTCCATCTGTAAGCCCTGAAGGCTTAACATCCACATTAATTCAGCATTATATTATCTCCTGTAATAGCACCTGGTTAAAGGCAAGTCTTCTCTCTTATGAATTATTGCAATAGCTTCCTACTTAGTTTTCTTGCTTCTGCCCTTGTCTTCCTACACAGTGGCAGTAGTGTTCTTGTAAAACCAAAAGTTGATCATTTTATTTCATTGTCCCGTACTCTCCCATGGCTCCTTTTGTTCTTGGAGTTAAAGCCGAAGTCCCAAAGTAATTTAGACACTTTCTGATCTGGCTCCCTGTTACCACTCTGATCTCAGCTTCTACTGTCCTTCATGTGTCTCCCTGGACTCCAGCCTCTTTGCTATTTGTGAAATATACCACCACTGTCCTGGATGGACTGTTCTTTCTGTCTGAAAATTCTTCTCTTAGATATGCATATAGCTTATCCTTTCATGTCTTTTTATTACTTAAGCTTCTATGATCACTCTTTGAAAAATTGTTTATTCATTCTTCGTTTCTGTTTTGTTCTAACACAAAGTACTTAATATAATCAAAGGTAATATATTATCAATCACCTGACAACTAAAATTTCCAATTAGGTAAGAGATTATCTGCTAATGTATTTCCAGCATATAGAAAAACAACTAAAGGCCGGGCGCGGTGGCTCACGCCTGTAATCCCAGCACTTTGGGAGGCCGAGGCGGGCGGATCACGAGGTCAGGAGATCGAGACCACGGTGAAACCCCGTCTCTACTAAAAATACAAAAAATTAGCCGGGCGCAGTGGCGGGCGCCTGTAGTCCCAGCTACTCGGGAGGCTGAGGCAGGAGAATGGCGTGAACCCGGAAGGCGGAGCTTGCAGTGAGCGGAGATCGCGCCACAGCACTCCCGCCTGGGCGACAGAACGAGACTCCGTCTCAAAAAAAAAAAAAAAAAAAAAAGAAAAGAAAAGAAAAACAACTAAAACATAATAGGTGCTTAATGAATGTTGACTGAATCAATGAATGAAATAATAACTTAATGTTATTTATTCGATAACTTCTTTCTTAATTGAAAAATGCTTTCTGGCCATAAATACCTCTCTATAAAATTTGGTTATATTTTATTATGTACTTATTTCTGCTTTTTTCCTAGTTTGTATGAACTTGAAAGGTTTAGTTGAAGTAGAATTGTCACACTCATTCTTTTTATTTTTTAAATACTCAATTTTAAAGGAAGAAGGGTTAAAGTAAAAAAGACTGAATGAGAAGTTACGAGTCAAATTTATTAGTGTCTAAAATATAATAGCAATTGCATATAGATTTTTCTTTCCCATTTAATCCTGGGCATATAAGGAAGCGCCAACGTGAGCATGTCTTTGAGCAGAATCCATTTTGCTCTTGCTTGTTTTTCACATAGAACTGCATTCGCTTTACCTGCATGTCTCATCTCTCAATTTTGTGTGTTTTTCCATCTGTTTATGTTTCTTTTTATAGTCATTTACTGCCTTCTTATTGACCTGCCCTATGTTAAACATGTCCCTAATATGTCCTGCCCACATCTCAGCCTGTCTACTTGTGTTTCTTCATCTAGCTAACAATAAACAACATAAGTCAGGTAATGAAATCAGCGTAATAAGAGAGGATCATGGTGTCTAGTTTGTTCAGAGGAAAAAGCACATGTGATGAAAATACACTCAGAGCTTGTTTTCTAAACACCATTTGCTAATTAAAATAATCAGTTCCTTTAAGAAGGAATGGATTCAATTTTTAATTTTTTGAGGAATCCCTGTACTGTTTTCCTTATCTAAGGTAATGTAAATGTCAATTAGCTTGATTTAGCTGTTCCACGAAGTATACATACACTTCAAAACATCGTGCTGTATATGGTAAATATATACAAATTTATCTGTCAATTAAAAAAGATAATTTTTTAAAAAAGGAAAAAATAAGGTAGCGGTTTCTAAGACTGGAGCGCAGAAAATACAAAAATTGCCTGGAGAATCTTGTAGTGCCAGTTTGCCCATTTGAAAGCTTTCACTGCATACTACATTCTTTATTGTGTCTTCACTCTGGGATAATTCAATCAATCCTGATTTAATCTATCTGTAGCTTTAAAGGTTGTCTTTACAATGGCTACAACAGGCATATTCTTGAATTGATATTGAGTATTTCTGAGTTCAAATAGCTTAAAGTTGTTTAAAACATTACTAAGTTTTATCATTTACTGCTTAAATTTGAAATGACATCAAAATTTATCAATCACTGTGTGCTGTTATTAATTTTTTGCAAAACCTTATTAGATTAAGCCAATTGCAATCAATGTTGTTAATATTCTGCTTTTTCAAAATCTCCCCTAGAACAAATACATTAATTACTTAGAGTTTCTATGTTATACTTTGTCACAGGCAAGATTTGTACCAGATGAACTTATTGGTCTTTCAATGTTCACATGTGTGAATTATACCAAATATTCTTCAACAATATAATGTTGGTGCATTCTTCCAACTCTCCTGAACAGTTTTACTAAAATAGTACCTGTCCCTCGATCCTAAGTCAAGGAACAGTTTTTTTTTTAATAAGTAACACTTCTTTCATAAGTTATGAGAGACTAGATAATGTTGTAATAACAATCTCCCTATAATATCAGTGGCTTAAAAGAACAAAAGTTTGTTTTTCCTGGATGTCTATGTGGTCTTTTATTAAGACAGGAGACTTGTTCCATGTCAGAGGGAAAAATTGTAGAAGTGTTTTACTCTTGCAGCCAAGTATCTTGATTATTTCCATTTATAACTGATTGCGAAAGCAAGTTCCAAAGTACCAAACTCCAGGGTGCAAAGAAATTCAATCTTCAGTGTGCCCCAAAACAGGAGAGAACCAAGAATCAGTGAGAAATGTTGTGTTTCAATGGAACACCCCCTTTTCTTAAGTCAAGATCCTTTCACTGGGCTAGTGTTCTTTGGAAAATCCTGATACAGTCTGGGTTAGTCCATACGATAATTGACTGAGCAATAGAATTCCAGACTTCTAGGAACACTCCTTAAATGTGATATTTCAGTTGTTGGTGTGAATAGATGGATAGTTTCCAAGTGAAAAATATGTATTCCAACTGGCACCATCAGTTTTATTTAGCGTTGTTCATAAATGCTTTTACTGCTGATGTTTTTGAATATCATTATTTTAAATCTAGTTATTTTTCCAAATTCTTCAAACATCTTTACTATACCAAGTAATTTTCAGGATTTATTAAAGGTTAATGAAGGAGTTTATTGCATCATATCTTCTATGGCTGTTTAAATACATGTAACTTTAGGGAAAACGTAAAGTAAACCACTGCAAGATGGCTAAAGGCCAAACATTGACAAAAGATGATTTATATTTTTATTATCAGAGGTCAAGGAGACTCATATAAGCTAACTTTTCATGGCAGAGCTTGTCTTTATTTAATTTCAATCTGATGTCAGTTTGTAGTTATTAAGCACTTACTAACTGTAAATCTTTTTACATATGTAGTGTAATAAATATACAGCAATTAGGCACTCTTGCCAGTTTATATATATTGTTCAATATTATATAATTGCAATCCAGCAGAGGAGGAAATATAAAAGTACAATCATGCAACACTGCTAGCCTACATTCTCCATTGATTCCTCATATCTGAAGTTTGTCAACATTTCACTAAAAGATACGAGAGTCTTGTGACAAAACCTGCATTACCATTCTCATATTTTTACTCTTATTTTTCTCTTAGCCTTGTCTTATCCAGTGACAATTAATTACTTGTTATTTTCAGAGTAAATAATGCTCCAATATATATTTTGGCTTTTGCCCATAATACAGACTTTAAAATAATTTGGTTCTATTTTAAGTACTTACTTAGTATTACTTTAGAAAACTTACTTTCCCTTCCTTGTTTCGGAATCTTCACAGTTTAGTACAAAATATAACTAGTATCCTAGCAGTGAAAAAAATGCATTTCAGTTGCAAGACCTATATATTTACTGAGCATATTGAACTATGTGCTTGTAAGAGTGCCAAGTTCAATGACTAAAACAGTGCATAAGAAAATCTCTGTTTGGAAGAGGATCTTTGTCAAGATCTTGGAGGTACAGGCTAGTGATTTGGCACTTACAGAGCAGCATGGTAAGTGGTGTATGGATCCAGCCAACCCAATTCCCTGGTTATGATAGAGTTTAATTTCAAAGGGCTTAGCAACCTGCACAGCGTCCAGAGTGTCCACTTTCAGGAGGCCAGTCCAGTCCAGCATATGGACTTCAGGGAAAAGGAGTCATGATTTACTTTCCTCAAGTTCTTTTTCTACATAAAAATGAAGGCATTATTAAGGGATAAATTTGGCCACTGGGGCATAAAATCACAAATTTCTCTGAAATTTAGATTTTCTGGATACTTGCAGGGCCAAAGCCAGAGACTCAGGGAACTTTTTCTTCATCAGAGTACATAATTATTGAACTTAAAGAAAGTGATGTTCTGGAACAGGGCTTCACTTTTATGTAAAGTGAGCCAATGTTTGAAAGAATTACAACACACAAGAAAAGTTCAGGCATTATTTTCTGAGCTGACAAGCACAATTAATGTCTGTCCTCTGTGACTCTATGAAGCATCCTGGACAACCCTTTAACTTGCACATTGAAATAATCTGCTGCACTTCTGTTTTACCCATTAGACTATTAACTTGGCAAGGAATAAGGCTTTGCTTTGTGTACCATGCAATCATTAACATACTTATTAGTACAGAGTAATACTTTAATATGTAGAACTCCAGCAGTTGTTTAATATTTAGAACTGAGCCAAATTGCTGATGTTAGAGGGAAAAAAAGGCAAAAAATACTAAATAAATACACTCCAGCTCAATTCTGAGACAAAATTATATAGACAAAAATATATGAGATGTATACAATATAACAAAATTTGTCAAATTAAGCAGATTATTATCTAAACTTTACGTAATACATAGACTTGCTCATTGATTAAGTGCAGACACATTTTAAATTATTTCAAAGATCTTGATTGAGAAAGAATCAATATATTGACTTTACATTCTTTAAAAAAGAAGCCTAATTGGCATAAGTTTATTCTTGAAAACTCTATTAAATGTCACATATTCTGGCATTAATGTTTGAGATACTTTGATATTGTGTATTACACCCTAAGTATATGTCCTTTTCTATATTAATTATAACATTTAAAATAATATTATCTTATTTTGCATTTACACAACATATGCTAGTTTTTAAGAACCATAGTGATATATGTAATCTAAAGATTTGCCCTCAAGTCTCAGATAACGACAATTCTCTAATAAAGTCATTTTATCATTTTAAATCACAAATTATCCTTTTAAAAAATTTGGGAAAAGGTATATGATATGTGAAAGTGTTTTACAACTATACATGATTGTTTGAAATGAAGAACAAGATATTATCTATAGTTCTCAAATTTCTCAAAGATTATTGTCATGCTTAAAGGGAGAAACACGGTATTTTGTTTGCTTTTTGTTTTTGTTTTTGTTTTTTTCTGTGTGATCAGAATTCATTTTATGCAAGATCTAATGCCATCTAATTGTAAGAGTTTGTACTACATTCATGTATAGTTGTTGAAATTAAATATCTCTAAAAACCATCACCACCAACCACAAACCCTAATAAAATAAATGTAATCATTGGCAGATTGAATTTCATTTATAAAAGGAAGGAAACGGGGGGAACAGCAAAAATAAAATAACCTTTAAAACTACTACATAAAAATATAAAACTACCATGCAGAACAGGATTTACTTCGAGATTTATTTTACTTGGTTTTGCTTTTGTTTTGTTTATTAGTAGACTCCACTACATAGCTTTAACACTTTCTTCTGGATTCAACTTTTCCCAGGAGTGGCTTTTCTCATTCCATTTATATGTCCCAGGAGAGAAAACAAGCAATCATCCCATGGCTATAGAAAGAACAGTAATCCTGAACTTTTATAAATAATAAAAAAAATTGAAAATATACAGGGTTTACATAAAATCAAAGCTGCAAAAGGCTACAGCAACAAACTGATATTTATTACCAAGAAATATTCTTGATATATAAAAAAGAACAAGGTGTTTAAATTTTGTCAAAATACATTTACTACCCAGAATTCAATCAGTTTTATAACTTGCAAGCTGCTTTAATCTGTCACAGAAAGGAAGAATGATGATTATATATTACAGGTAGTTAAAGGTGGGGTTTTTAAAAACAATGATTGTGGTTAGGATAACCCAAGAACATGAAATAGTCTCATGACCTATTATATCCATTATGTTTGGAATAATAGTTGTAGACAGTTATATGGCATAATAATAGTCTCTGAGGCTAAGAAATTTAAGAGTATTTTTCATCATCAAGATCACTAACTAGCAGTTATTGAACATTTAGTGGAAGCTCGACTCTAATGGGTATTGACCCTGTAAAGAATAAAATTTTAATATAGCCTGCTTTCCCATAAGCTAGACATTGTAGCTATTCATGCAAAATGAAATGCTTTTGTCTCACATAGTTACTTTGTATAAAACCAGAAAAAAATGAGTTACAATTTTTAATCATTACATATCTAAAAGAGATGTAATCTGAGACAGACTTTTAAAAATAAAAAAGAAAATATCAAACAAAATGTATCTGAGGCATTACAGAATAAAGAGTTACAAGTTCAACATAAATCTATCCAAGAAGGATAGAAAGGACATAATTTTATTAAGCAATCAAAAATGTTAAGATAAAATAATTAAATCATTTTCAATCTATATCCTGCCTGACCCAATCCACATCTAGACACTTATATAACGCACCAGGCATCCTGCACCTGGACACTGCATACATGATTCCCCTAATAGTATAACAAGTTCTCCTCTTTATGAACATCAATAGCAAGACACACATATTCAGGTTCCTCTTGCCACATCATACTCTGGCATTACTCTGCATACTGAATAAAGTACCTCCGTAAAGAAACCTTTATCTCTGTTTTAACTGTTTTGTGATCCATAATGATGTCTTCAACCAAATTAGTTGTTCATCCCACGACCATACATTCTGCTCAGTCATCCGTAACATACTGAAGGCTAAAATGAGCATGGTCAGCATCTGTTGAGTAGAAAGTGCCAAGGTTTGTGCTAAAAGTTTTAACTGGTGTTAGCTGATCCAATGATTAAAATAAATGTACACATTAGATACCAATGTCATCCCAATTTTACAGATGAGAGACTAAGGTACAGAAAGTTTAGTATTCTTGACAAAGAAATAAAGGGTAGAAGCTGCCATTCAGAATTTAGATCTAAGCAGTTGGAATCTTAATCCAGCAATGTTAAGGCTTCTTAGGCTTTCAATTAATCCTACAGTAACATGCAACTATCGATCTGTTAAATGTCTTTTATATATATATATATAAATATATGTGTTTATAGATATATACATTTGTATATACACATATGTATATGTGTATATATATACATATATGGATATATATACACAGACACACACATACATATATGGAGATATATATATATCTCTCTCCATAAGGCCCACCAGAAGCAATTTGCTTTCAGCTGATAAGGCTGGTAATACACCTTCACTGTCCTGACTCAGGGCTGTATAAATCCTCCAACCCTACTTTGTAATTTAACTTTCAGGGAATTTGACTGCCTTTTCTTTTCCTAAGATATCACTCTGGTTCATTACATTGATGACATTATAATTATTGGACTTAGCAAAACGTGGTAACTGCCCTAGACTTTTATAGGCACGCCATTTGGATTTGAGAGGATAGGAAATAAATATGACTAAAATTTGGGGGATTTCTGTCTCAGTTAAACTTCTGGTAGCCTAGTGGTGTGGAACATATCAAGATATACCATTTAAGGTAAAGAATACATTGTTCCATCAGGCCCCTCCTGTAAGCAAGAAGGAGACATAACACCTAGTTGGCCTCTTTGAATTTTAGAGGCAACATACCTTGAGTATGTTATTCTGAATCATTATCCAGTGACCCAAAACACTGCTACTTTTGGTTTGGTCAGAACATGAGAAGACTCTACAACAGGTTCACGTTGCTGCGCAAGCTGTTATGCTACTTGGACCATATGGTCCAGCATATCCAATAGTGCTTGAATCTCAGTACCAGATAGGGATGCTGTTTGGTATATTTGACAGTCTCTTATAGGTAAAATCTAGGAAAGGCCTTTAGGATTCTGGAACAAGGCCCTGCCATCTCCCAAGGATAACTACTTTCTTTTTTGAAAAACAACTTTCAGCCTGTGCCTCGGCCTTAATAGAGACCATAGTTCACTTTCTTTGGAAGGAGAAATCACCAGAGTTGTGGTCATATACTAATTCATGGGCTGTGGCCAATGATTGGGTCGGGTGTTCAGGGAATTTAAGAGAATATGATTGAAAAACTGGTAACAAATTTATGGTGAGATATCCCCTCTGATTTGACAAAAACATTAAAAATAATTGTTTTTCATGTGGATTTTCACTAGAGAATCACCTCAAAAGAGGAGAATTTTAACCATCAAGCGGATAGGATAACCAGTTATGTGAATTCTAGTCAGCCTCTTTCCCTGCTGGCTCATGTAAAGAGTGGCCATGGTGTCAAGGGTGGAGGTTATGCAAGGGCTCAGCAAAAGACTCACACTTACCAAGATCAATTTGGCTATGACCTCCATCACGTGCCCAAACTGCTTGCAGCAGAGACCAACATTGAGCCTTTGATATGGCATCATTCCCTGAAGTGATTGGCTTCTCTCATAGAAGGGGCAGTGCTTTGTCTTTTTTGAAATAGACCCTCTGGATATAGATTTGCCTTCCCTGCATGTAATGCCTCTGCCAAAACTACCACCCATGGACTTACAGAATGCCTTATTCATCATTACAATATTCTATACAGCATTGCTTCTGATCAAATAACACACTTCACAGCAAAAGAAGTGAGGTAATGAACTCACACTTATGGAATTCACTGGCTCTACCATGTTCCTGCCATACTGAAGTAGCTGGTTTGATGAAATGGCCACTTAAATATTCAGTTACAGCTGCTGGCAGTGTCTTGCAGGGCTTGGGAAAGTATCTTCAGAAGGTGGTATGTGCTCTGAATCAACATCCAATGTAAACTTCTCTTTTTCCAATAACCAGGATTCACAGTTCCATGAATCAAGGAATGGAAATGAAAATGGAACCCCTTGCTATTACCCCTAGTGGTACACTGGGAAAATTTTTGCTTCCTGTTCCAGTGACATTATGATCTGCTGGCCAAAATGGCTTAGTACCAGAGAAAGGAATTCTTCCTAGGATAAATTATAATAACTCTATTGAACTGGAAATTATGACCGTGTTCAGTCACTTTGAGCGCCTCAAGCCTCTGAATCAAGAGGCAAAAAGGGGAGTTATGGTGTTTGCTGGAGTGACTAATTTTGAATACCAATGGGAAATTGGACTACTCCTCCACAATAGACGTAAGGAAGAGTATGTCTTTAATACAGGAGATCCCTTAGGGAATCTCTTAGTAATCGTATGCCCTGTGATTAAGGTCAACGAAAAACTACAACTTCAAACAGGCATTTCAAATAACAGGGCAGACCATTCAGGAATAAAAATGTCTTAATCTTTCTGTGCTTCTCTAACTGAATACCACAGACAGTAATTTATAAAGAACAGAAATGCATTTCTCATAGCTCCTAAGACTGGGAAGTCCAAGATCAAATCATCATCATCTATTGAGGGACTTATTGCTGCATCCACATACAGCACAAGCTGAAAGGTTAAAAAGGTGATGCACATTGTGTCCTTAAATGGCAGAAGGGCAGAAGAGGATAAACATGCTCCTGTAAGCCCTTCTTACAATGGCATTAATCCATTCATGAGGGCAGAACTCTCATGACCTAAACACCTCCCATTAGGCCCCACTTCCCAACACTTTTACATTGAGGATAAAATTTCCAACATATAAATTTTAAGGGACACATTCAGAACATAGCAGATGGTTTGGGTCACCCCTCAAGGTAAAGAGGTAAAATACCATAACCAGCTGAAGTGCTTGCTGAAGACAAAGCAAATACATAATGAATAGTGGAAGAAAGCAGTTATAAATACCAACTATTACCACATGACCAGTAACAAAAATAAGAACTGTAACTGTCATGAGTATTTTATCCTTATTTTGCTTTCAAGATGTTTGTGTGTATATATACACATGCAGTTGGATGATAGATTGATGATAAATTGACAGATATTTGTTTTCTTTCCTCTTGTATTCACTTATTACCTAACATAAGATATATTAATTATATTTTGTAGTATTGAAGTATTTTTAATTTTAATCATATTATTTAAGTAACCAGATAGCATAGAGAAGAGTAAATATCACTCAAAGACTATCTCTTCCTCTGGGAAAGGGACTGTACATTTCTTTCAGTTGCATGCCAGATAGTTGCAATGTTTAGTGCAACTCAAAAAATAATTTAAAAGAAAGATATTAATACCCACTTATGTATAGTTTACTTTGCTTTCCTCTTGGATACCTCCCTGCACATATACTTCCTGCAGGCAGCAAACTATGAAAACTTGAAGTCAAAGTAAAACTTGAAAGCAAAAATAAATAATCCTTCCTGGACACTCCATATCTAGCTGAGATTCTTTAACATCAGTTTCCCTCTTCCCTCCTCAGATAGTTATGATGGTGAGTTCCTTTAAATATTCTCTATATTCACCAAAAGCCATTGGTTTGTGTTGAAAATAAGACTAATGCAACTCATAGGACATTTATCACAGAACAAAATAGTTAAGCAATTTATCCACTTCGCCTCTGATTTTCACGGCAGTCAACAAATAGCTATTTCTAGGCATGTTACATCTTTCTTCCATGAATTCTGTAGTCAATCCATAGTATATTATGACTTTGTTTCCAATACCGCCCTGTTCTGAATGCCTTTAATGCCTTCTCTCATAATAGTGTAGTGTATTTTCCTATCTCTCTAATTCAGAGATTGGCCATGAGATTTGCTTTGGCTAGTGGATTATGAGTGGTTGTGGTGTCTTCAGAGGATTTAAAATGTGCTTGCATAGTTTATCTTGGCCCTTGAACTCCTGCTGTTCTAGAAGAAAACATGCCCTGGGTACTTCTAACTAAGGAAGATAAAAGAAACATGTCATATACTTGGGGCTAACCCACAAATGAAACGAAGCTGAACCTAAACACTGCTTGAAACAGAGCTAACCATCCAAGCCCAGCTGAGATTAGCCAAGCCTCTTCCCATTCACAGACCTGGAAGCATGAGAACAAAAGCTTATCATAGTAAGTCACTAATTTTTGAATGAATTTTCAACACTATTTTTTAATTTAAATAAAACTGGCTGATAAAGCACATTTTCTAAATTAAATTCAAAGTTCACCTGGCTGGCTAGTTGATCCCTATTCCCATCCGGTTCTCGCTTGCCGTAACTTATGACGCAGCTTCTGTTATAGCAAAGCTGCATCTCATTTTCTTCTAAAATTCTTCCTTATATGTAGATGGAAAGGAGCCGACATTTAGAGATAATCTGAATGTTTACTATATTGAAAGATCTATTACTTTCAGCCTTTTTTAAAAAGAGAGGCTGAAAATTGCCTAAATAACAAATTATTTTTTTAGCTCATGTCTGCATGATATGGAATATCTTGCCAAATACTTTACCCCTCTGCTATTGGTTGCAAAGTAAAGAGTGTACTTTTGACTTAGAATGTCTGTCTTGCCCTTATCTTTTGAATTTTTCAAAGTTTTCTCTTTCTGTTCCATGAAGTACACAGATGACAAATGAGAAAGACTGACTGAACATGAATATGCTACACATTTACTTCACCATCTCCTAGTCCTTATTCAGACTATACATTGTGTAGAATATAAATAGTATTAAAATAGCTCAATAATTTTAAGTCATAAATTGTCTCATTACATTGATTATTGCTTTTTATAATTACTACCAAATTTCAACTATTTTTTCTACATCTTTACTGTTAAAAGTCCACTGATTATAGCTGTTTACGGGTTTGAATAGTTTTCTGAATTCTAGAACAGAATACATGCATGGTTTGATCGTAATTTTTTAATGCAGACTAGCAAAGCCATATACAGACTACTTGATTCCCTGGCTGCATTTGTATTTTTGTTGTGAAAAAAAATAACCTCCTTCCCATTTTAGAGCTATTACTTTATCTCTGCACCCTGAAGGGCCCATATTTAATGTCCTTCAAATGCTAGTTTTGAGGCTGTTAATCATTAACTATCTGATTCAGAGACACTAGTTCTCTAAAATACTTTGTTAAATTGCAATATTATAACTTATTCTTGAAGTAGGTTCTACTTGCTTTTATAAGATTCTAGGTAAAGGAAAGGTCTTATGTTTTATAGTTCATGTCTAGATTTCACACAAAATCTCTGTGAAATGGTTGGATTATCACATGCTGAAAAACCCTCTTGCTAATCAAGCATGAGAAGCCAAAAAATATACACTGCACAGATGGGCAGTTAATTTCTTTCCCATTGAGCTAGCAATGTGCTCCATGATGTTTTAGCAGCTGTGATGAGAATGGTGGATGTCCCCAGTCTATGCTTCATTTAACTTCGGGAATTCGAAAAGATTGCATTGTGTGAAAAATAAAAATGTATTTTAAAGCAATGGAGCTTGGTGTCCTGAAGCAACATTTCATTTTAACAACTAAGTTTTAGGTGCAAATGTTGATACTTACATATTTCATTCTTCTGACAACTTTACCACAACTTGGATTGTATTTCATCACTAAATCATACTGTCAACTTAGTCTTAGACAGCCTATGAAAATCAATGGAACTTTATAATAGAAAATAGAAGAATTGTGTGGTAAAAAATTGTTTCAATTGTTTGCCACTCATGTTTATTTTTCACAGATACCAATAATACCACATTATATTTGTATAGCACTTTTATATTCAAAATTATTTTCCTGTCAAATGGGAATAAAATGCTTGTACTGCCTACTCAGAGCTGATGATATGATTACCTGACATAAAAGAAATAAAAATGCTTTCTAAAGAATGCTATAAGAGATGAGGGATTATCATTGCCATCACGTCTGAGAATTTTAGTCAGCAAAAAGCACAGAGGCTTTGAAATAAGACCTGGATTTCAGTTTTGGTTTCATTCCTTATAATGTTTGTGAAACTTGGCAGTTGCCTTACCTTTACACTGAGCCCAAGGGATTTTTGTGTATAAAATTTGAATAATTATATACTATATATAAGGTATGTGTGTTTGTGTGTATGTGTGTGTGTGTGTCTATGCTTGCATGCTTGAAAATTACAGAAGTTTTTATAAGGAAAATGTATAGTTCAAGGTTACACTAACATCTGATAATCAGGTTTAAAATGTTATACATAACAAAAGCCATTATTAAATGTATTAAGTGAATAGACTGGTCTGAGACACATTTTAACAACAGATATTAAGGGTCTGAACTTCATTCAATAAAGAATAAGAAGTATAATTGTAATGACTGAAGGGAATCATCTTTCATTTGTCCTCTACCTAGTATGCCTAGGAGTATGGTATTTTTTCTCAAAAAAAAAAAACTTGATAATAGTATCTCTAATGGATTTGTAACTGCTAGATTACGTATCAGACAATATAACTCCTTTAAAATAGAACCATTGTTAAATTTCTAGAGAGCACTCAAGACTCCTCCATATCATCCTCTCCTAGTGTTCAAGAAATGGTCAAGTCACTCCATCCCCAGGGAGAAGAGTTATACAGGTTTTAGGATTTAGGATAGTAAAATCCTTGAGCTGTCATGACAATGGGTAATGTTGGTATGCCAAGTTCAATTTGGTGAGATACATTATATATATACTTATGGTCTTTTCTGAGGTTTCCTCCAACATAACCAGAGTTGTGAAAGTGGTGGCCATGTTCTTTGATTTCCTTATTTTTAATCTTTTTTTATTTTTAATTTTTGCAGGTACGTCCTAGGTGTAGAGAACTCTTTTGCTTGCACATTTTTCTATCGAGATGATGGAACTGATGGAAATAATAGCATGATCCATTTCCCACGAAAGATGCTCATTAATTTCTAATTAAGATGCTTCTTAATTTCTTATGTTCCATTAGTTAGAACTGATTGTCTTTCTTACTTTTTAATTTCCACCACTCTGAAGGAGACAAAGATCTAGGCCTTCTCCTTTTAGAAGTAACCCCTACTATTCTCTATTTTTAATTTAATGTATTCTCTCTTCTCTCTTTCTCTCCTCTTCTCCATACATATTTCATACATTAAATGTTGCTTTCTACAACACCCTTCTATTTTGCCTGATGTCCCAAGCTCAACAGTCTAGGGTTAATGAGCTAAAGCCCTGGTTTATTAAGGGTTGATAAGCTGAATTCTGATGTGGAGGATATGTTTGCATCAATCATTACGTCTTCTCTCTCTTCAGCTCTCCATTAAGAATTCAAGGATTGGACTTCATTATTTCCCTACTACCTGATGTAATCAATCTTTTATTTGCCTACATGTCTATCTCTCCTCCTTCCTCACTAGAATACAAACGATAGGAAGGCAGAAGTTTGTATTTTTATTTTCCCTACTGTTCAGAAGGGTGCCAATAAATGGCAGGTGAGTAAACAATAATTGGTGTAAAATAAATCAGGAAATAAATATAAAACTTTTATTTGAATTTCAATAAAAAACAAATTTTCAGATTTCGGACTGCCCAGGATAGGGGAAAGCTGACTTCCTTGTGTTCCAGCTAAGCACACTGGAGCTCTACCACAGGGTTAACTCAAAACCCAGCTAATAGGCTAGGAGTGGTGGCTCACACCTGTAATCCCAGCACTTTGGGAGGCGGTGGCGGGTGGATCACTGGAGTTCAGGAGTTAGAGACCAACCTGGCCAACATGGTGAAACTGCATCTCTCCTACAAATGCAAAAATTATCCAGGCAGAAGTTGCAGTGAGCCAAGACTGGCCCACTGCACTCCACCTTGGGAGACAGAGTGAGACTTTGTCTCAAAAAACAAAGAAATAAACAAAAATATAACAACAACAACAACAAAAGACAGCTAACAATACATTATTGCTTCACTTTCTTTGTGATTATTATCTCAGGATTATCTCAGTTTATGCTGGTTTAAGGATAATGCAAAATTCAGAATAATACCACATTGATATAAACTATCTAATGGAATATCAAAATATTGTTTTCAAAAAATAGCATAGTTTTTTACGGTTGATAAAGAAAACCATAATCATTTTATAAAACACAAAGTAGAAAAGTATAAGAAAAATAAACTTAATTCTAAAATAGAGGAGGAACTTTATAAAATATAATGCTTTTAATTCAGCCATTTCTCCTAGGCATATTTATATTTTCATTGTCAACTTATTTATAATCTTTTCTAACGTAATTTTTCATGCCATAGCATGAGGAGTGTGGTCCCCATCATATGCTGTGTATAACAAAAATTCTAAAGTTTGCATTGGGCACCATATTATCAACTATATTGTATTTATCAAGATCCTAATGTTGGGAATTTTTGTGGATGTTGTTTCGGGCTCTAATTTCCATGATTTACTGTCAGTGGTTTGATTAAAAATTATCTACTGAAAACCACTTGATCTTACAGGAAAGAAAAACTAGGTCCATAATGACTTAATTAACTAACCATCATATTTTGAGAATGAGAATTTTAACTCAAGTGTTTTATTTATTATTCCAGTATTCTTTAAAAATGTACATGGTCTTGAAAAGAAAAAACAGTTATAATCATGGAAACCTCATATTACTTTTAGAGAAGTGGTGAATCGTAAATAATTTTACAGCAAGATCTCAGTTTATTTGTAATTAAAATGTATAATTAAGTGCATATTTATAAGATTAAGTAGGTCTAAAATAAGTCAATAATAAGAGATCACTCAGAGACAGTGAGGGGTAACTTCACCACAGCCAAATGTTTCTGGGTGTCTAGAAATAAAAAAAAAAGTCATATTTGTGGAGAAGAGTCAAAGAAGGGTTCTGATCATTGTATTCATCCTTTATTGGTTTCTCAGCCTGTGACTTTTTCTAGCAATTAGTTCAGTATAGCAATAGTCTGCTATATGCAATGGATAACAACACAAAATTGGGGGGAAAGAATAATTGTATTTATTTTAAAATGGTCTCAGTGTTCAAGCTCATAATTTTTGGTAATATGTGTTTTGTAATATATGTGTATATGTATATATAACAATTTTATAGCCACATATACATAAATACATGTGTATATATATTTGTTTATGTATATATTTGGATTTATGTTTACATATTTATATATTTATAAATCACATATGTACACATACATAAATCCATGTATTTATATCTTTTTCCCAAAAATAAATCCAGGTTTAAAAACACAAATTTAAATTGAAAAACATATTTAATATTATTATTCTATTTTAATTTGCTAGATATTACTTGATACAATGAAACAAAATTAGAGATTCTAATAACTTGTTAAAATAATTAAAATATTAAAATATTAAATACTAAGATCTCCTTGCATTCACTGTATTTGAAAATAATCGCAATTTAACTAATACTTTAATTAATTCTAAATTATAAAGAAAACTCCATCAATGCTCTTTGACCTATTAATATCCAGTGATTATCCCTAGATAGATGTTAGAGCACTAAATACCAGAGGAACTGAGATAATTAGGTCATAATTTTAAATTTTAGGGTATATTTTCTATTTTTAATTTTATTTGAAACTGGACAAGCCAGAAAGTAATTGTTAAAAGTGATCTTCAAAGTAAAACAGGTGTTTTGGTTAATAGCTCAACTTTGATGAAAGTCAGTGGGAATCTTGAAAGCTAATTAAACGTGTAAAAGACACACTTCCTTATGAGAGCTTTACTTTCTCTATAAATTTTTTTTGGAACTGACATATTCACAGCTGGGAAAACTAAACACCTGCTTTTAAGGGACTCATGAATGTTTAATCCTGATGAGTAGATTGTTCCATTAAGATCCAGGCAAACAGAGCAGATCATGTAAATATGAAAACAAAATAATCACTACCCCAGAGGCATTTCTTTATCTTACTTTCCTTTAACTATTCTACTTTTCTACAAAATATTACCTGTATTTTCTACCATCCATGATTATATATGTATGTGTGCACATTATGAAAATTAAGGGACATATATAAACCATGAATAAGAATATTTGATATGACTTTTAATCCTTTTCTTAATGTTTAAATAATTTACATATTGCATATTAATAAAATCATGTCAAAAGTTTTAATGTTAATAAATTGATAAAATTTATAAAATTAAATTTAAAATTTAATTTTTATAAGATTTAAAAAAATTATTTAATTTGTATAAGATTTATAAAAATATTTATATATTTTTATGAGTTAATTTATAAAATTAATATTTTATATAATGTATAAAAATGAAATACATATTTTACACAATTTTTATAAAATTTTATTTATATTCTAAAAATTTTATTTTTTGCAAATGGCTGAAGTAATTCTGAGTAAAATCATTTTTTCCTTAACTTAAAATATAACACTTTCTGTAATCGATTAACTCCTATAATGGATCTAAATTATGCCTAAGTGATATTTGTAAAGCAGGACAGCCATACACAAAATGAAATATTTTATTTACACCCACCCACAGATTCCATTTGACTAATGTAAACAGAATTAACATACATCACTTAAAAACTGTAAAAAGTTAACAAATAACTTTTAAGTTCAGAATATAAAGCAGTCTTTTATGAAATAAGAGAGTGTGTGAAAGAGAAACATCTCCAATTAGATGTATTATAAATCATACTTCAATTTAAATAAATCAGATTATTGCTCAGTGCTATTTTGTAATCACTCTCTCAATTCTTATTCTATACACTACTAAGAGAGTATAAGTAAAAATAGAAAACAAGCAAAAATATCAACAAATTGTATAAATTATTCAATAGTATAGTATAACACCTACTGTAAGTGTATACTGAAAGATGTCTGCCAATCTTTCCACATTTGTTCTATTGTCATTGAGTATTGGAGTGGATTTTAAGATATTCATTGGCAAAGACATAAGACATATAACATCATTTTTTCACATCTTTAATATGGTTTCCTATTAGGACTTTGTAACAGAATATAATTATATAGTTACTCTGCTCACTTAGTAGAAAACTAGGGTTATAAAAACAAAGTGATCCAGTGGCATCTAAATCTTCAGAAATCTCAAAGTCACTAGAAATTAATTTTTAAAAATGCCCTATACCACAAATCCTATCAACTCACTTTGCAAGTATATATTGTATTTGTTCCTTTATTTCCACATCCACCATGGGTACCCCCAAAATACAATACTGTATCTTCTGTCTGACTACAGCTCTAGCTTCCTAGCCATTCTACCTTTATTCATCCTTTTACTCTTACCTATTATCCACAGAACAACTACAACTAGAGTGAACTTGTGTATGTGTGTGTGTTTGTGTGTGTGTGTGTGTAATTCAGATCACATGATAAAATGATTGACTTGACAATAAGAAAAAGCTGAACTCCCTATGGTGGGTTCCACAGTCTTGCCCCTAGTATAAAATGCAATACTACTTAGCAATAAAAAAGAAACAGGAGGGAGGCAGAACAAGATGTCAGAAAAGAAGGCTCCAGCAATGATCCCCCTAGAAAGCACACCAAATAAACTACTACCTAAACACCAAAGAAACACCTTCACAGGAACGAAAATCAGGTGATCACTGACAGTACATGTTTTAACTGTATATTGCTGAAAGAGGCACTGAGGAGGAAAAAACAAAAAAACAAAAACAAAACAAAACAAAACAAAACACCAGTCATCATATTCCCAGATCTCTTGCTGCCTGAGAAAAGCAGAGGAAAATGTAAAGGGGACTCTGTCTAGTCCCTTAAGTACCAGCTTAGCCACAGTGAGGTAAAGCACCAAGCAGGCTCTTAGGGGTCCCAATTCCAGTCATTGGTTCTTGGATAGCATTTTATGACCTGCCCAAGCACAAGGGTGAGCTCACTTTCCTGAAGGGTGAGTCCCAACCCAGGCAGTATTCACCAAAAGCTTGGTCCTTAAGGAAACATCTGCAGTAGTCTGGCAGTCCTTTCTGTGGGCCTGTGGTGGTGTTGGCTCACAGCTTGAGGATAGTCTCCTTTGGTAAAAGGAGAGCAGATTGGGAAAAAACTGCATCTTGTGGTTTCAATGTCAGCTAAGCCACAGTACAATACAACATGAGGCATAGGTCTAAGGTTTTTACTCTAGTCCCTGACTCCGAGATAGCACCTCTGGACCCACCGAGGGCCTGCTGAAACTCACCACCCTAAAAGGAGGGACAGAGATCTGACTAGCTTTAAAACACCTGCTGATTTTAGAGGCCCAGAGACTTGAGTGAACATAGGTGGTAGCCAGGAAGTGGTTAAAACAAGCCTTGGGCAAGTGCTGTGCTAGCTTCAGGTATAACCCAGCACAGTCATAGTGGTGGTGACCATGACAGTGCTTGTGTCACTCCACCCCAAGCTTTAGGTGACTCGGAGCAGAGAGAGGCTCTGTTTGTTTCAAAGAAAGTAAGGGAAGAGATCAGGAATCTCTGCCTGGTAATTCAGCAAATTCTTCCAGATTTTGTTCAACAGCATCAAAGCAGCTTCACTAGTCTGCAAGAACCACAGTGTTACTGGGCTTATGGTGCTGCCTAATGCATATACAGCTGAGATCACAACATCCAAGTCCTTTTGAATATCTGTAAAGCTTTACCAAGAAGGACAAGCACAAACAAGCTCAGACTGTGAAGACTACAATGAATATCTGACTCTTCAATGCACACAGAAAAATGTCCACAATATCAAGACCATCCAGAAAAACATGGCCTTACCAATGAAATAAATAAGTCAAGAGGGACGAATCCTGTAGAAACAGAGATATGTGATCTTTCTGACAGAGAATTCCCAATAGCTATGTTGAGGAAACTCAAATAAATACAAGATAATCAAGAAAAAGAATTCAGAATTCTACCAGACAAAATTAATAAAGAGATTGAAATAATTAAAAAGGATCAAGCAGAAATTCTGGAGTTGGAAAATCCAATTGACATCCTGAAGAATGCAGCAGAGTCCTTAAATAGCAGAATTAACATAGCAGAAGAATTAGTGAGTTTGAAGACAGACTATTTTAAAATATACAGTCAGAGAACACAAAAGTAAAAGAATAAAAAACAATGAAGCATGCCTACAGGATCTAGAAAATAGCTTCAAAAGGGCAAATCTAAGAGTTATTGGCTTATAGGTGAGATATAGAAAGAGATAGGAACAGAAAGCTTATTCGAAGGGATAATAACAGAGAACTTTTCAAATCTGGAGAAAGATTTCAATATTCAAGTATAAGAAGGCTATAGAACACTAAGTAGATTTTGCCTAAATAAGACTACCTCAATGCATTTAATAATAAAACTCCCAAAGGTCAAAGATAAAGAAGGGATGCTAACAGCAGCAAGAGAAAAGGCACAAATAACATATAATGGAGCTCCAATATGTCTGGCAGCAGAGTTTTCAGTGAAACATTACAGGCCAGAAGAGAGTGGCATGACATATTTAAAGTGCTAAAAGAAAACAACAACAACAACAACACACACACACAAAAACAAAAAACTTTTACCCTAGAATTAGAATGCCATTTCTGGCAAAAGTAACCTTTTTGCATGAAGGAGACATAAAGATTTTCCCAGACAAAAACAAAAACAAAACAAACAAAGAAACAAAAAACAACAACTAAACAACAACAGCAGCAGCAAAAACCTGAGTGTACAATAAATGCTAAAGGGAATACTTCAATCAGAAAACCAAAAACATTAATAAATAATGGCAAATAATGTGAGGTACAAATGTACTGGTAGCATTAAGTTACAGAAAAACAAAAATATTATATCACTGTAACTGTGATGTGTAAGCTACTCTTAAGTAGAAAGATTAAATGATGAACCAATCAAAATAATAACATCTTTTCTAGACATAGACAGTACAATAACATTTAAATAGAAACAACAAAAAGTTAAGAAGGAAGGAGATGAAGTTAAGGAATAGAGCTTTTATTAGTTTTTTTGTTGTTGCTTTGTTTGTTTATGCAAGTAGTGTTAAGTTGCTATAAGCTTAAAATAATAAATTATAAGATAGTATTTGCAAGCCTCATGATAATTTCACATAAAAATCACAACAGATCCAAAAATAAAAAGCATTAAATTAAATCATATCAGCAGATAAACTGAACAAAAATATTGAAATAATTAAAAAGAATCAACTAGAAATTCTGGAGGTGAAAATGGACTAAAAAGAAAGACAAGACTAAAGAAAGACAAGACTAAAAAAAGGCAAGAACGAAGGAAAGAAGGAACACAAGATTAATAATGAAATAGTGCAAGTAAGTGCTTACTTATCAATAATAATATTGACTCTAAATGACTTAAGTCTTCAACTGAAAGACACAGAGTGGCTAAGTGGATTAAAACAAAACAAAAGTAAACAACAACAACAAAAAACAAGATCCAAAGATCTGTTGCCAACAAGAATCACAGTTCACCTATAAAGACATGCATGGACTAAAAATAAAGGGATAGAAAAAAATATTCTATGCCAATGGAAATGATAAAGGATCTTACGTAGCTATACTTACATTAAAGAAAATAAATTTCCAGGCAAAACCTTTAAGAAGAGACAAGCATGGTCACTATATAATGATAAAGCAGTCAATTTAGCAAGAGGACATAACAATTGTAAGTATATATGCACCCAACAGTGGAGCACTCAGATATAATAAGCAAATATTATTAGAGTTAATTAGAAAGACAGACACTAATACAATAATAGCTGAAGTCTTCAACACCCCACTTTCAGGATTGGACAGGTCTTTCAGAAAGAAAATTAACAAAAAAAATTAGACTTCATCTGTAGTACAGATAAAATGAACCTAATAGATATTTACACAACACTTCATCCAGTGGCCACAGAATGGTTACAAAATACACATTTTTCTCATCAGCACATGGATCATTCTCAAGGACAGACCATATGTTACTTTACAAAACAAATCTTAAAAACATTCAAAAAATTAAAATAATATTAAAAATCCTCTCTGACCACAATAGAATACAACTAGAAATAAATTATAAGTGGAATTTTGGAACCTATACAAACACATGGAAATTAAACAACATGTTTTTGAAGGACCAAAGGGTAAATGAAGAAATTAAGAAAAACATTGAAAAATTTCTTGAAACAAGTAATAATTGAAACACAAAATATCAAAAACTATGAGACACAGCAGAAACAGTACTCAGAGGAATGTTTATAGCCATAAGTCATTACATCAAAAAAGAAAAAAAATTTAAGTAAACAAATTAAAATTCAAGAGCAAACCAAAGACCAAGTAATAAAATCAGAGATGAAAAAGAAGACATTGCAACTGATACCACAGAAATTCAGGGGATCATGAGTGGCTGCTATGAGCAATGCTGTGTCAATAAATTGGAAAATGAAGGACAGCAACCATATGATCATTTCAACTGATACTAAAAAAGCCTTTAGTAAAATTCAACATCTCTGTAGAATAAATACCCTAAAAAAGCTGGTTGTAGAAGAAGCATACCCCAACAAAATAAAAGTTGTATTTGACAGACTCACAACTAGTATCATGCTGAATGGGGAAAAACTGAAAGCCTTTGCTCTAAAATCGGGAACACAACAAGAATGCCCATTGTCATTCATCATAGTACTGGAAATACAGCTAGAGCGATCAGATAAGTGACACAAATAAAGGGCATCCAAATTGGAATGGAAGAAGTCAAATTATCCTTGTTTGCAGATGATGTATCTTATATTAGGAAAGTCCTTAAGAATATACCAAAAAGGTAATAAAACTGATCACCAAATTCACTGAATTAGCAGGATACAAAATTCACACACAAAAAGCAGTAATATTTGTATATAACAACAGCAAACAATCTGAAAAATAATTTGTTAGTAATCCCATGTACAGTAGCTAAAAATAAAATAAAATACAAAGGAATTAATCTAACCCAAGAAATGAAAGATCTTTAAAATGAAAACTATAAAAATGTTGCAAGAAATGGAAGAGGACACTTAAAAAATGGAAAATATTTCATGTTCATGGATTAGAATAATCAATATTCTTAAAATGTTCATACTAGCTGATATGGTTTGGCTGTGTTCCCACCCAAGTTTCTTCCTGAATTGTAGTTCCCATAATCCCCACGTGTTGTGAGAAGGACCACGTGGGGTGGTAATTGAATCATGGGAGTGGTTACCCCATGCTGTTCTCTTGATAGTGAGTTCTCATGAGATTTGATGGCTTTAAAGGCCCATTTCCCTTGCTTGGTACCTCTCTCTCCTACCTCCTTGTGAAGAAGGTTGGCACTTCTCTCTCCTGCCTCCCTGTGAAGGAGGATGTGTTCACTTCCCCTTCTACCACGATTGTAAGTTTCCTGAGGCCTCCCCAGCCGTATGGAACTATGAATCAATTAAACCTCTTTCCTTTATAAATTACCCAGTATCGGGTATTTCTTCATAGCAGTGTGAGAACAGACTAATACACCACCCAAAGCAATTTACAGATTTTGTGCACTCCCCATCAAAATACCAATAACACTCTTTACAGAAATTTTTAAAAATCCTAAAATTTATGTTGATCTACAAAAGAGCCAGAATTGCCAAAGATCTCCTGAGCGAAAAGAACAAAACTGGAGGAACCATGTGACATGACTTCGAATTATACTATATAGCTATAGTAACCAAAATGCATGTACTGCCATAAAAGAAGATACATAAATCAGTGAAACAGAATAAAGAACCGAGAAATAAATTCATACATCTACAATTAACTCTTTTTCAACAAAGCTTTCAAGAACATTAATTGGGGAAAGGATGGCCCCTTCAATAAGTGGTTCTAGGAAATCTGGATATCTATATGCAGAAAAATGAAACTGAACCCCCCATCTCTTGCTATACATAAAAAAAAAAAAAAATCAAGGCCAGGTGTGGTAGCTCATGCCTGTAATCCCAGCACTTTGGGAGGCTGAGGCAGGCAGATCACCTGAGATCGGGAGTTCGAGACCAGCCTGACCAACATGGTCAAACCCTGTCTCTACTAAAAATACAAAATTAGCCGGATGTGGTGGCATGAGCCTGTAATCCCAGCCACTTGAGAGGCTGAGGCAGGAGAATCACTTCAACCCAGGAGGCAGAGGTTACAGCGAGCCCAGATCATACCATTGCACTCCAGCCTGAACAACAAGAGCAAAACTCCGTGGAGAAAAAAAAAAAAAAAAAAATCAAATCAAAAGGGATTAAAGATTTAAGTCAAATGCCTCAAACTAAAAAACTACTACAAGAATATATTTGGGAAACCCTCCAGTACATTAGGCTTCTTGAGAAACACCCCACAGGTAGAGGCAACCAAAGCAAAAATGAACAAATGAGATCACATCAAGTCAAAAAAACTGCACAGCAAAGGACACAATTAAAAAAGTGAGCTGACAGCCCACAGGATTGGAGAAAATATTTGCAAATTACCCACTTGACAAGCGATTATTAACCCAAATATATATGAAACTCGAAAAACTCCATAGGAGAAAATCTAATAATCTGATTTTTTTCAAATGCGCAGATCTGAATAGACATTTCTCGAAAGAGGATATACAAATGGCAAAGAGGCATATGAAAAGTTGCTTGATATGATTGATTATCAGAGAAACAAAAATCAAAACTACAATGAGATATCATCTCACCCCAGTTAAAATGATTTTTATCCAAAAGTCAGGTAATAGTAAATGCTGGGAAGAATGTGAAGAAAAGGAAATCCTTGTACACCGTAGTTGGAATGTAAATTCATAAAACCACTATGAACAACAGCGTGGAGGTTCCTCAAAATGCAGAAAGTAGAGCTACCATATGACCCAGCAATCTCACTGCTGGATATATACTCCAAAGAAAGTAAATCAATATATCAGAGAGATACCTGCACTTTCATGTTTGTTGCAGCTCTGTTCACAATAGTTAAGATTTGGAAGCAACCTAAGTGTCCATCAGCACATGAATGGATTAAAAAAATCTGCTACACATACAGAATGGAGCTCTATTCATCCATAAAAAAAAGAATAAGTTTCAGCAATTTTCAACAGCGTTCATGGAACTAGAAGTCATTGTATAAAGTGAAATAAGCCAGGCACAGAAGGACAAACATTGCAAGTTCTCAATTATTTATGAGCTCTAAAAATGGATCAATTAAACTCATGGAGATACAGAGTAGAAGGATGGTTACCAAAGGAAGATAAGTGTAGTGGAGAGGGTGGAGGAAGCTGGGGATGGTTAACTACAAAACAGTAGTTGGAAAGCATGAATAAGACCTAGTATTTAATTGCACAACAGGGTGACTGTAGTAAAAAATAATTTAATTGCACATTTGAAAACAACTAAAAGAATATAGTTTATTGTTCATAACACAAAGCATTCATGCCTGAGGGAATGGATACCCTATTATTTACACTGATGTGATTATTATGCCTTCCGTGCCTGTATCAAAATATATTACGTAATCCCCAAATATATGCACCTACTATGTACAGAAAAAAAAAAAAAGAAAAGAAAATTTTAAAAAGGCACAATTTTTAGATGTTGCAACATTAGTGAATTTCAAAGGCATTCTGCTGAATGACAGAAGTCAGTCTCAAATGATTATATACTGTATAATTATATTTATATAATGTTCTGGAAAGCGAACATACAGTAATAAATTTTCAGCATTGCTAGAAGTGAGAGATAGGGAGAGGATGGGATTTCAAAGGAGCATCATAAGGAGTTTTTGAATGATGGAATTAGTCAATGTCACCATTGTGATAGTGGTTACACAAATCTACACATGTTAAAACTATATGACAGAAAGCTATTAAAATTTTGTATTTGTTAATTTAAAAAAATTAATAATATAATTGGTTCCTATCTTTAGTTGGCCAAATACACAAGCCAGAGTTTATTCATAAATGAAATTAGAACACTGATAATATTTTTACAAGCCTGTTCCTTTTAAAATATAAAATGTCTTTTTCCCTTATCCTTCTATCTTCTTTGTTTAGTCTTATTTATTCAATAAGTAAAGAGCTATACATTATTTATATTTCTCAGGAGAAATTCCATTACCTATTAATTTCTGTTAACGCAGTCTATGCATCTACCTTGATGTTGTCAGGAAACTAATTTTGTTGGCATCCTCATGATTTTTACATAGTAGGGTGGATGCTTTGTAAATAATTTATACAAATTAGAAGTTAACATATGTGCTAACTCTTTCTAATAAAAATATAATGGCATACTAACATATCCTAGTTGAATTTTTCAATGTAAATGTAATAATGCTTAAACAAGCAATTACAAAATAAGTCAAGAACCCTCCTAAAATTTAGAGGCTGTATTGAATCATATTTTCCTCATTCAAGTTAATAAAATGTACTGATTTTTAAAATATTGACAGTGTGGATATAAAAACCCTTTTCCAAACAATGATCCACAGTTGTCACATATCTGAATTTAGATAGCTATCTGACATGTTTATTCAGCCTTCTTGCAATTACAAGGAACCATGTGCCTTTTACTGATTTAATATGAAGGGTGTAGAATATCACTGTAGTGAAGGGTGATTATTATATTTCTTTCATGAGTATGAAAGTCTCATAACTCACAGACATCACAAAGTGCCTATGGAGTTTGTGAGTTATTAAGGTCAGTCATGGGAAAAAAGAAGATAATCACTTTTTACCAGTGAAATATTCAACTTATTTTAGGACAAAGCTTTTTTACCGATTACCAGCTCAAGAATGGAAGAGAACTAATAAAGCACCCAGTAGACTTTTCTTTCCATCTGTCCATCACTCCAGGATCTATTGAACTGTACCCTTGGTTGTTTAGTGATAGTAACACATTCAAACTATAGTAGAGATAAATAAAGATTGTTTTCATTTAAATTTGTGCAAACATTTTAACATTTAAAAAATAAGTGCTTTCTGCTTTACTCATTTATTTATTTTCAGGAAGGAAAAAAAAAATAATGGCTACTATCACCCTAGTCAGTGTGAAACAGGGATGTAATTTCTGGGCTTTCTGAAATAAGCTTTCTTTGAAAACAAAGGCATATAACAAAAAAAATCAAGGACTGCAGAGGAATTCTAGACTCTAATTATACAAATGGCATATATAACATAATTGCATTATTTTTATATTTGGTATGTATAAAAATGTATGAGGAGAATTGAAGAGTTTCTTTACAAATGAAAAACTACAAAATATAAAGTGTGAAATAGTGATAACTTCAGTTTTTAAAAAATCAGTCTTGGTTAAGAAAGCTGTTTTACTTAAAGTTTCAGTTGTTTCAATACTTAGAATTCCCTGCTTCTTTTTCAAATAGCCAGAGAAATTCAGAGCACTTTTTAATGTTTGAATGTGAAATTCATTTTGATAAGATTATGTTTATATATTCACCAAACAATATTTCAAGGCTCTGAATTCAGTCACAAAGTTGAGCAGGAAAAACAAATCTTGTTTCCTGAACAGTAAAAGATGTAGCATATGTGAGAAAGTGAGAGACAGAGTGTGTGTGTGTGTGTGTGTATGTGTATCCTCTACCCAGTTATAGTGTGGAGTATAAAAAATATTATACATAATATAGGAAAGTATGATACAGGAAACTATTTAGGTAATTCATAAATCAATGCCCTTCATATCTTCTCTTACCAGTAAGCACTTATTACTTATGATGATAACTATTTTGTTTTTATTTTATTTACTCATTTATTTTTGATATATTCAACATTTATTTTTTCATTTCTGAGAAAGATGTTCATTTCACTAAGAAAAAAAATCTTCCAGAAATGTTCGCTTTCTGAAAATAGTTTTACTCCTTATCAATATTTCAATATCTCATTGTTATTTCCTCAAATATTTAGAGATAAATATCATTTGCTCAAATTTATCTTTTTTATAGTGAAAAGACACAAGGTCATGCTTGCCTTATTTTACTTAGTTTGAAGTTCCCTCACCATCATGCTTATTTTTCTTCTCATTCATTTCAGTTTTTCTTCCAATTGTATTTTAAAATTTAAGTTTATGCATGGCATGGTCATACGATAAATATAAAGTTCAAAAGCAAAATATCAAATGGTAATAATCAGATTGTCAAAGGAAATTGAATAGAGTTTCTTCCAGGACTCTTGAGGGCTCTTAAATTTCTTCACTTATAGAATAATAAAAACTCAGAAGACTGGAGTAGGGCAAGTTTGTGAAGACATTACCTTATTGAGAGTAGATGAGATTACTTTAGATTTTATATACTTCAGCCAACTACAGCAAAGATGGGAGGTGAGCAGAATGAGGCTTGATATGAACCAAGGGAACTCCTCGAAGTGGGGAAATAAATGTACACCACTGTATGAAGAAAGGAATCAGACTCTCAGGTAAAGGAACTGTTGGAGAGAGATGCTCAGTGTAGGGGATTTCTTGAGAAGTTCTGAAAACACCTTGAAATAAAAGTTAGCATTAGACATCTTAATGTGGAACACCCTATCAGATTTTCAGGGTACTAGTGCAAACAAAACTTCTTCTGCCCTTTTCATTTTACCCTTCCTATATTTCTGCTCCAAAGTGGTAATACGGCCACATACTTCATATGTTCTCCACTTGTGACATATTTTGGAAACATTTCTTAGATAGCTAAGTTATAATTTTAAGTTACTTTTTCATTTATTAAGGGATGAGATACCTTCAGAATTCTTTAATATTTATAAATTTGTTTTATTCTTTATTTTATTGATTTGTCATTATAACTATTTCTTAAAATTTGTGAGTCCTGGCGACTGTCACTGATATCCTGGATTTTTATAGGGCTATTTATGTTCTTTCAGTGTTTATAATTGATAGTTAAATTATATGAAATCATTTTTTATTTTTTCCTTAATGTCTATCTTAGGCATTGTCTGATATATTTTTATTTCTTTTTTATCTTAATATCGCGTATTTCATCTTTTAAATTATGAATTCCTCTTATAATGTGATGCAATATATAGTTTTTCTAAAATTATATGTGTCTTTCTTATATTTTGTGCATTTTTCTTCTGTTCTCATTTATGTATATTTTTTAAAGTTCTATTTTTCTAAATTTTTTGTTTTGCTTCATTGTTTCTGTATTAATATCATTAAATGATAGCAATATTACCCTGTATTCTTATAGTATAGGTGAATACAGGTGGTTTCTTTCAAAGACTTGAATACACTGACTTGAAGAAAAATAAATAAAAAACAATATCAAGTATATTTACTTATTAACTGTACAATTCTGAGAAAAAATAAGCATTTTTAAATTATCAGAATTTTTGACTCTCATATTATGCTATTATCTAGTGTAGTTATTATTTTAAAATATGGAAGAAAATGATACAATAAAAAGTAAAGCCCTTATTTTAAATCTAAATACTCTGGGGAATTTTTTAACTTAGAAAAATCTCTGCTTTTGAAAAAATAGTAAGATCTTACTCTGGAAGGTAGTAGCCAAAGTGTCCTATTGCTTCTGGAAGTATCTTAATAATTAGATAAACCCACAATTTTTCCAGAACAATCAGTTAAAGTGAAGATTCCATATTAGTAAATGCACATTTCAAGGGGAATTCAATCTACAATATTCATCACTAGCCACACTTATTTCTACTGGATGTGGCTATATATGAATGTTGAGGATACAGAAAACAAAGAATATAGCTTTTAACAAGTGTTTTCCTTTGATACCATGGCCCCAATATAAAGATTTCTGCTTTAAGTACTTATGTATTGGGGCTTACATTGGTTGCTCTCCAAAGTTTCAGATTTGACATACAATATTTGATTAAATGGAAGAGTTTGATCATGTGTTCTGTACTAGACCCAATGATGGAAGAGGCGGCGCATCTGGAGTGGCACTCCATCACTGGCCGCAGTGGAGGGGCACAGCTGGGGCTGCATTCTTCACAGACTGTGGGAGCTCCCTGGGTGTAGCCCCAGCTGCCCAAGTTGTGGCTGTGGACCCAGGCCTCCCACTGCATGGAGCAGGAAGGAGCCCTGTAACCCCAGGTGCAGCTGCAGTCACCCAAACCGTGGCTGTGATCCCAGGCATCCCTGCATTCTGGGGGGCCCAGGAAGGAACCCCTGCCCTTGTAGTTTGGGAAGTGCCTCCTCCTGCTACCTGGCTTCTCCCTGCTGTCAAGTTCTGCTCCAATCTTGGAGCAAAGTCAGCTGAGCCTGAGTGCTGTCACAGCTCCTCCAGGTGTGCACACACTGGGGGCAGTGCTGAGACACCAGGCCCCTGTCACCTTGGCCCACTCCAGGCTTTGGATACCAAAGAGCATAGGAGGGAAGCCTATGGGGGGCTTAGGGCAGCTCAGGCACTGGCCTTCAGGAGCTCCTTGGCACCTACAGCCAGGGCACACTGAATGGCAGAAGGAGGCAGACAGGTTCCTGAGTGAAAGGGAATGGTTCCCCGGTGAGGCCCACCTTCAGGCCAGGAAGGGCCTGAAAGCTGGGGGCCTGGCTGCCAGTCCCACACACCAGAGTGAAAATTTGTAGTGCCTTTTTTGGGCCTGCCCGGGGCCAAATATGGACCAATCAGAATGCACTTTCTTCCCTCTGAGGCCCATAAAATCCCTGGGTTCAGCCGGAGCCCAGCATACATAGGGACAACCAGCCTATTATCCTGCCTCAGTCGCCTGAGTAGCTGGGATTACAGGCCCGGGCCACCAGGCTCACCTAATTTTTGTATTTTTAGTAGAGGTGGGGTTTCGCCATATTGGTCAAGCTGGTCTCATACTCCTGACCTCAGGTGATCCACTCCCCTCAGCCTCCCAAAGTGCGGGAGCCACCGCGCCCGGCTGTGAGCTACCAGTATTATATCATAATTTTAAGGGAAAATAACAGTAACCTGGTCAAAATGAGTGGCAATTGTAAGACAGAAGAGTTGAGGAAAAGGTCAATGGCTTTCCACTTAATTATTTATTTTTATCAGAAAGCCAAAAACACTTTAGTCGCAGAGGCTTTTTTCCAATATTGTGAAAGTCGCGGTATATTTCTGTTTAAAAACAGTCTTATTTAGACAAAATGTTAAATATTCTGTTTTGTTTGTTTGTTTTGTTTTGTTTTTTGACAGAGTCTTGCTCTGTCTCCCAGGCTGCATGCAGTGGCACAATCTGGGCTCACTGCAACCTCTACCTCTAGAGTTCAAGGGATTCTCCCATCTCAGCTGGGACTACAGGCGTGTACCACCGTGACTGGCTAATTTTTGTAATTTTTATTTTTTGTACACATGAGGTTTCACCATGCTGCCCAGGCCAGTCTCAAATCCCTGGCCTCAAATGATCTGCCCAACTCAGCTTCCAAAAGTACTAGGATTATAGAGGTGAGTCACCACGCCCAGCCTTTTTTGTTTGTTTTTTGTTGTTGTTGTTGTTGTTTGTTTTTTTAAAGAAAGTATACCTTTAAGAGAGTACCATTCTTTCTAGCTGCTCTATTAATGAGCTAAGAAGCAAGATGCCTGAAACACAGGGTTCACAGAATGAATACCATTGCTTGCCAGTGGCTGAAGCAGTGAAGAGAAATAAAGAATGAGAAAATTGCTGATGAATCCTTTCACTAGAGAAGAACATCCAGGCAGAGGATAAAAGGGATCTTATAATCTTTATTTCTTCTGACCACAAGGGCCACAGAATTATTTTCCTTGTACAAAAGCTACTTAACCAATAGAAAAGAGGTAGTTTGAGCAGAAAATACCCAAAGAGAAAATAATGTGCTAACAAGGCACTTAAATTCTTCCAGATATTTACACAGAAAATTAAAGACTTCTCCTAATAGGGAACAGGGGATGGTGTAAGTACTTGTAAAAGTCTTTTATTGCCAAATTCTAAAACAATTGGAAACTCAAGCTCAGAGAAGGCACAATATAGTTCCTTTAAAGCTACAATTGCAGAGAAATACTTCCAAGTGAATTCTTCTTTAAACCGACTTCAGACCAGAGTCAAATTCAACAATGATTCGTAAGACAAAATTAATATTAGAAAGCTAATCAGGCATTTGCATTTTATCAAATTACAATTTCTAATGTATCAGTTCTTGAAAAATGCATGCAAAACCAGTATTTGGTAATTATCAATTCTACTAATTTTATAATAATATGTTTCTTGGAAAAAAAAGAATGTTTTGTGTTAAATGTTCTTCTTTTATTGTTTCACACTAGCAGAAAATCAAATGTTTGAACCATACAACCAAAATATTAGTTACTTTACTTTATTTGTATTACATATCCAAAAATAATCATAGTGTCTAGAATATAATTAGAAATAAACAAGTTATGAATAAATAATCTTGTAGAAAAATATGAAACGATGGCAAATTTTATGAAGTGAAGATGAGAATGGGAAAAGAAAAACTAACAGAATCATAGAATAGCCAACATTTTAGGTTTTCTAATGATTTCAGGTCAGTAATACCCCAAAAATACCCTCTTATGTTTTTAAGTCTCAGTCTTGAGAGAGCATCTGGATTTTCATACAGGTATGGCCAAGGCAGATTACTTAACTGCTCCATGACTCATTTTTCTCATCTTTAAACATTGGTAGAATGATCATACGTACCTCATAATATTATCTTATGCAAAAGGTAAGTTGGTGCATATAAAACACTTAAAATAAAAATAAAAAAATTAAATTAAATTAAAAAAACACTTAAAAAGTAAATAATCAAATAATTGGAAATTTTAAGGAAAATATAAGATGCTGACTGCCATATTTGATGCTGAATGTTTTTATTCCTGCAAAAATGCACATACAGTAGTGGAATACTTTTTAATGAACTGCATATTTCCTGGAAATGAATATAATTAATGAAACTAGTAATACTAATACTAATATTAATAAAACTATTAAGTAAAACAAAAGTATGGTTAAGCAAAGGAACCCAGAAAGAAACAAACAAAAGCAGGAATTAGCAAAAATCTATATGTGAAGAAAATCTTCATATGAAAGAGCAGAAATTTTTAATGTACAAACATTTTACATATATGTAATGGTAATGATTGCTCACATTTCAGACACACAAAATAAAAGCTATCTCTATGTTATGAATTTTCTGATATGATACATGGTTCTGAAACGCTCAAATTAATTATGACGAGATCAGGTAATATGTTAGAGTTGACCAGATAAGGTTCTTTTTGCCAAGCATGATATTGAATATTCAATCTCACCATCAGAAGCCCCTCACATTTTTAATTTACAGGTACTATGTGGTGTGCAGGACTTGAGTTAGAAGAGTAATGCATGTCTGCTAATTAAAATGTCAACATCTACCTGTGATAAAATGACTTTACTTCCTTCCTTTTTTCCTTCTATCCTTCCTTCTTTCCTTTTCTTCCTTCCCTTCTTTCTTTTGTTCTTTCTTTCATTTTATTTCTTACCTAATTTTTGTTCTTCAATGTTAAAAGAATGTGTTTACCTAAAAAGTGTGATGTTTTAAAGGTATTTCACATTAACATTTCATTCGCTCTCATGTAGACAACATTTCATACGTAATTTAGCTTCATGTTTCCTTGATCCACGTTCCCTTCTCTTGAATCCTAGCAGTGGTTATTCTCCACATCTTAGCTCTTGGAATGTTGTGTTCTCCCTTCATGGGTTACCTACTCTTACTATGTAAGCTTTTATTTTTACAGATTCCTTCAGAGTCTAAATCTCTACCATTTACTCCAGTTAATTTATCATTTGCATCATTTAGCTTTCTACTTGGTGAGTAACTCAACATCACTTATAACTCAATGTGTCAAGAACAAAAAGTATTGCTTTCCTCAAAAAACACATGTCTCCTGTGTTTCTATGTCGGTTGGTTATATCCTCCTTCTTCCAATAACTTCAGTGTGAAAACATAGAGTCGTATTTATTCATTACTTTCGTTTGGGCATCATATCTATTTGACTTCTGAAATATATATCTTATTGTCTTTCTTTTATCTCCATCTTAGTTCTCAAATTCCACCCTGGAATTTTATCTATGCACAATCAGATTTTGAAAAAAAAACCTCTTCGCTGATACTTTAGCCTACTTGCACTTTTTAATTCTTGACTCCGTGTCCACAATCATATTGTCTGCCATGCTCTGGAATTAGTTCAATTTTGTTCCATCCAAATCCTACTAATATCTTCCTCCTAATAACTTGCCTTAAAAATCTGACACTTAATGATGCTTGTATTTAATATTTTGTCTCTAACCTATATTCTTGAGTTGTTTGTTATTGTATGGCTGTAGTATATAGAATATTAAGTTGGAAAGACATTTTGACAAAAAAGTCCAGATCTTCTATTTTAAAGTTATGAACTCTGGACATGCCACATTTAATACTTGAAAGCTTCTTCAAGGAAGAACAAATGTGTCATTTCTCTGTATTCTGCTTTCCCCATAACCTGTACATTTAGTCCAGTGCAGGAAATCCACTAGGTACTAACCATTTCTGAGATACAAACTGATTAAGTGGCTTGATGAATTCTATCCTAACAACAAAATCATAAGTTTCTTGATGGCTGATGGCAGAACTGGTCATGCCCTGTAATTCCTCTATAATCTTGAATAGACCTAATTGAGTATAAAGAATACAGGAGGTAGTAACTTGTTTTATTTCACGTAATTCTTCTTTTATGTACGTAAATAAATGTGTATATATAAAAAAGTATTATATCTGTGATAAGATGAAGATTACTCTATGTTACTGACATAGAAATAAATCATTTACATGGCTGGTTAGTGATGAAGTCACATTTTAATGTAAGTCAGATACCAGAGGCCCCCAACTAGTTTTCATATTTTACTTCTTCTTCCCTATTTAGTAACAGTGCATAAATAATTAAATGTACTTCAGCTAGGTTGATTATGGAGCATGCATTTAAGTTATTTTTGATACCAAACTAATTTCATTGAATAGGTTCTAAGATAAAATCTATTCTTGTGTAAATCCCAATAAATAAAGCACTTATTTAACAAATATTTATTAAGTTCCTTATATGAGTCAGACACTAAGCCATTACTAAGAAATAACATGATAGTGGGTGTATAGGCGAGTGGTGTTTTCCTTCTTCTGATACGAAGCACAGAGGAGGTATTTGGCAAATTGGTGTCGGTTCTTTGAAAACAGGTAAGATTCTGAGACAAAAGTGTCCCACATATGTATAACTACATCAGCATTTTGTTGCTAGTAGGTAAGTTCCCATGCTGCAAAAACTTCAGGCTACTTCTTTATTAAAAAAAAAAAAAAAAGAAGAAGAGGAAAATACATTTATCTGCATCCCTGATGTCCTAAATCCTAGTGAGAGACTCATTCATTGTTTTTATGGCTTCGCTTTTAATATGGAAAACTCCTGGTATAATTTGCACATTAATTTGTATGAGTCCTCACATCTGCTGACTAGTTTATTTCTGAAATTTTCATGAATGCCAATCCAGTGTTTTCTTTGATATATATTGGATAGTTGACTAGACTAGACTGAGTAAGAGATTAGAATATGTTACTTTTGAGTCTGCTTTGTACTTTTGTTCTTTCACAGAAATCTTGTAACAAATGGCAAGGTGCAAAAATAATTTATTATAATAACAGTCACTTATGAGATGTTTACTTTGTGCTAGTCACTGTTTTACCAAATTCACACCTATAACTTTTAAATAGCATCAAACTCAATATTATGTGTACTAATATCATTTCTGTTTTACAGATGAGATTAAGTAGCTGATTTAAGATCACATAGTTTGGAAACGGCAGTGCCAATATTTGAAGAGATTCAATCTAGCTTTGGCATCTGTTTTTATAATCACCATATAATACTTCATCTCAAGAGTTTAGCAAAAGTTTTTGACTATTCATGTTATTCTCTACCGCATGACATTTGAACTTGATGCTAAGTACACACTGAGGACTACAGCTCACTGTTTTTGTTTTCATGGTGGAAAAAAAATGATGTAAATGCTTTGTGATGGACTAGCACACATAAGGGGATAAAAGTTTAACAATAAGTGTCATAATTCACATGTAATATTAGTACATTTCTGAAAAATATGTTTTATAATTTTTTTCTCATGAGAATAGAAAGAGAGAATGAAATAAATCTGAGTGTATGTAAGGCAGATTTATGCTCTTTACATTTCTTCCATGATCCGTTTTGTTTGTCAGTGAAATCCGTTGTTAAATTTCTTATCCGTTTCTGTACATTTCCTTATGTAATGACTTTTTTTTTTTTTTTTTGAGACGGAGTCTCGCTCTGTCGCCCAGGCTGGAGTGCAGTGGCATGATCTCAGCTCACTGCAAGCTCCGCCTCCTGGGTTCACGCCTTTCTCCTGCCTCAGCCTCCCGAGTAGCTGGGACTACAGGCGCCCGCCACCACGCCCGGCTAATTTTTTGTATTTTTAGTAGAGACGGGGTTTCACTGTGTTAGCCAAGATGGTCTCAATCTCCTGACCTCGGCCCACCTGGGCCTCCCAAAATGATCTGCCCGCCTTGGCCTCCCAAAATGCTGGGATTACAGGCGTGAGCCCCTGCGCCCAGCTGTAATCACTCTTTTATGTTTTCTCTCTGTTAACTCTAGAGGATATAGTATTTATTTGATTATTTTAACCACCACACAAAAACAAGAATAAACATTACGCTCAGTGTCAGAATTCAGGTATTGGGTGAGCAAATGTTTAAGCTAAAACATGAAATATAATAGAATTTCCTACGTAGAATAAGATAAATAAGTAGCAAGTATTTAAGATTCAGAAAAAAATGTATAAATATCCCTAGATTGGATATAAACCATTATATTAGGAGGGTGATGTCAGAAGGGGAAGTGAAAATAGATGAGGCTGAAGACATACACATGAATATAGGATCCTAAAAGTGTCTTTAATGGGGTGATACTTAATCCTAAATTCAATGTGAACCTCTTCAAGAGACTTGAGAATTAAGTGATCCAGTACACATACTATGATTACTTTAGATTCATCACATAACATTATTTCAAATGAGATAAATGTGAATTTAGTAAGATTGATAAGGGGGATCTTATAGAAAGCTAGGTGAAATTATGATAATCTGGACAATGCCTTGACTTTTAGAATGAAGAGCAATAAGATAATTTAGAGAATGGCAGGGGATGACAATAAGATTTGGTGACAAATTGAAAGTGTGAATAAGAGAGAGGAAGGTGTCATGTGTGGCACTGTGAGTTGGTAGCTGGGTATGGTGGCATCCTTCATTAGAATAGAGAATGCAGAATGGAAAGTAGGTTTAGGAATTTTTAATTTGAGACACTTGTGAAGATGTTTGGCATATGAGCAGAGATGTGGTGAGCCGAGATGAAAACTGGTTATCATATCTGTGTCAGATACATAGATTTCTGAATACTAAATGTAAGGTGATGCTAGCAAATATGGTACCAAAGAAGAATGTTTGAGTAAATGGCAAGGTAATGATACTGAGTAAATCAGTTTTATGAGAAGAGAAGGCAATGAACAGGTGTTTTCTGAGGTGGCTAAAAAGGAACAGCTATAGAGGAAGAATTAAAACTAGCAGTCTGGGAGAACAAAAACCAAGAAAAATGTTTCAGAGATCAAATGTATTTACCCTAGAGAAAAAAAAAAGTAAAACTCTGGTTGATTTGGTGATGTTAAGAAGTTGTCTTCACCAGTTCAAATCATATTATATAGGAAAAATCCAAATATATTTTGGTGCTATAAAAAATGTATTTTTGTTTTTTGATTTCATTTTGGTTATTGTTTTTGTTTTTTGCTGTATGTTGAAACAAAGCAAACTCCTGCCACTTATTTTCAAAGCTAATGTCTTTACAGCTTGAACTTTGCAACATCTGGCAACATTCTAGAAAATTAAATGAAGAAATAGTTAATAAAAATTTATAAATAATTTTTCCCTTTTCCTTTATGGGTTCAATCTACATGTTTTTTCCATGTATGGGCTCAAATAATGCACTTTCTTAGCTGAACATTACCACCTAAAGGACATTTTTCCTGGAATTCTCAAGATGGGCTATGCTTGCGTACTCAACTCTCCCAGAGCAATCTTTGCTTCAATCTCTTAAAATTATCTTTTATTTTCTTTCTACTAAATTTTCAATTATAACGTATGGAGCTTCAATAAATGTGGAACTAAATTTGTATTTATATGCATTCTAAAACTGAGATCGGCTCTTCTGAACTATAAGAAAAAAATGATTTTTGCCGAACAAGAATTCTGCTATGAACAAACAAGTGATATAAAATGAGAACTTTCTTCATCCTTCACATGCAGAATAATAGGGCAAGGAAGCCAGGCTATAGGCACTATCTAGAGATTCTCTTTTGTTCTTTGGGGTAGTATTAGGCTTCTATGGGGGATTGCTTCTCTTGGTACTTATATAATTATTTCCTTAATGCAACTCTTGAATTTTCTCTTTTTGATTTAAGAGTACAGAATTCTTCTTGTGAATGTTTCCTTAGAGAAAGTTTCTGACAGCTCTAAGACTCATTTATTATCTCTTTCTCTCCTGTGTAAGAAATTTTCTCAGCAGTTGAAAGTTGTGAAATCTCCAAAATAAAGAAGGCTTCCCCCTTTCTAAATTCCTGTCATCACTCTTGTTTCCCTATAAACTGTTTATTCATTTATTCATTTATTTTTTTTCTAAAATTGCTCTATGAATCTTCAGTTTCAACAAGAAGAAAATAGAATTGTCTCATGTCAAAATTTAGGTGATTACTAAGTAAGAGCTTTTATTAATGGAAACTAACTAATATAATAGAGCAATGTATATTGCAAATTCTGCAAATTGTTTATTTGAGTTAAATTTAAAGACCATTTATAGTCTGGACCAGATGTACCATGTTCATTATATTTTTAACTATTTTAGCATAATGGGGGGAAATTACTTGATTAGACCCTCTCTTGAAAGGTTTGTAGTTATAAAATTGTATGCCATAATACTTATTTTATTATATTGGCTTCAAAATAATGAATATACACCAATTCACAGTTATGAAAGATAAAATTTGTTTTTCATTAAAACTTTACTAATATTTACCCATGGAGACTTGAAATCAGGGACCCCAATGATAGGACTTAGAAAAATAGACTTCAAACCCCTTTCTATGTTTTATAAGATGATTATGGGCCCATGTTTTAAAAACTTCTCTGCTTTGAGATAATTATAGTTTCACATGCAGTAAAAATAGTACACAGAGACCCCAAATCTGGTATACTCTTCTCCTAGTGCCCCAGAATGATAACGTCTGGTAACCAGAGTATACTACCACGATCAGGAAATTGACATTAAGTGAGTCCTAATAGACTTATTCAGACTTCTCATTTTACATGCACTTCTGAGTGTGTTTATGGAATTTCTGTGTAATTTTATTACATGTATAGATTTATGAGATCTGTACCACAGTTAAGACAGAGAATTTTTCCATCAAAAGGATTTTGCTATGCTTTTGTAGCCGCAGCCAATTATCCTCCCTCTCCAGTTTCCTAGCCCCAGGGTGAACCAGTTTCAAAACTGATTTGATTCTAAATGTCCCTGCTTGCTTGCTTTGTCTCACCTTTTTTCCTTTATTTCTTTCTTCCGTCTTTCCTTACTTCCTGTCTTTTCCTTTCTTTCTTTAATTCAAAGTGTCCTGCTCATTTTGGTTCTAAACTGGGGAAAGCTATATTGTTTCCCCTGTTTATACAGTTTTGGTCCTTTGTTCTGATCCACAACTGTCTTGATGAATGCCTGGCATTTGCAATTTATATTTCATTTAATTAGATTGAAGTTATAGAGACATAGTTATTTATAAGTGCATATTTTATATTGGGAAGGAATGGGGGAGGTTGTGAAAATACATAATAAAATAATGAATTATACTTTAAAACTTGCATGGAGAAATCTGCATTTTTTCTATCAAACCGTAAAGTGAGAGAAGTGAAAAAGAGAATTGCTGATTTGTAGTTTACAAACAATCCTAGGAATGTCAAGCAACAAATTAGACCACAATAAAATAAGTACTCATATACATTACTGATGGTAGTGCATACTACTTTAACCACTTTGGAGAATACTTTTGTAGTACGCGCAATCAAGCATTAAAATTTGATTTATTTATTTTTAACTTTTATTTTTGGTTCAGGGAAACATGTGCAGGTTTATTATATCAGTAAACTGTGTGTTGCAGGGGCTTAGTGTACAGATTATTTCATCACCTAGGTAATAAGCGTAGTACCTCATAGGCAGTTTTTCGACTCCCACCTTCCTCCGTCCTTCCACCCTCAATTAGCCCCAGTGTCTGCTGTTCCCTTTTTTGTGTCCATCCGTAATCAGTGTTTAGATCCCACTTATAACTAAGAACCTGTGGTATTTGTTTTTCTGTTCCTGTGTTCATTCGCTTAGAATAATGGTCTCCAGCTCCATCCACATTGCTGCAAGGAACACAATATACTTCTTTTATGAAAGCATAGCATTCCATGGTGTATATGCATCACATTTTCTTTATCCAGTCTACCATACATGGGCATTTAGGTTGACTCAATGTCTTTGCTGTTGTGAATGGTGCTGTGATCAACCTACAGGTCCATGTGTCTTTATGGTAGGATGATTTATATTCATCTGGGTATATACTGTATATGGGGGTTGATGGGTCGAATGGTAATTCTGCTTTGAGTTATCTGAGAAATTGCCAAACTGCTTTCCACAGTGGCTGAACTAATTTACGTTCATCAGCAGTGTATGAGCATTCCCTTTTCTGTGCAACTTTACCAGCATCTGTTATTTTATGACTTTTTAATAAAAGCCATTCTGACTCGTATGAGATAGTATCTCATTGTGGTTTTGATTTGATTTCTCTAATGATTAGTGATTTTGAGTATTTTTCATTTGCTTGAAGGCCATGTGTATGTCTTCTTTGGAAAAAAGTGCATGTTCATATCCTTTGCCCACTTTTTAATGGGATAGTTTCTTTTCTGCTTATAAATTTAAGTTCCTCATAGTTTCTGGATATTAAACCTTTGTCATGCATAGTTTGAAAATATTTTCTTCAATTCTGTAGTTGTCTGTTTACTCTGGGGATAGCTTCTTTTACTGAACGGAAGCTCTTTAATTTAATTGGGTTGTATTTGTCAATTTTTGTTTCTGTTGCAATTGTTTTTGGAGTCTTTGTCATGAAATTTTTGCCAGCTTCTATATCAGGAATAGTATTTTCTAGGTTATCATCTAGGGTTTTTATAGTTTGAAGTCATACATCTAAGTCTTTATCTTGAGTTTTTTTTTGTATATATGTAAAGAAGGGGTCCAGTTTCAATCTTCTGCATATGGTTATACAGTTATACCAGCACCATTTATTGAATAGGGAGTCATTTCCTCATTGCTTGTTTTTGTTGACTTTGTCAAAGATCAGATATTTTTAGGTGTGCAGTTTCACTTGCGTCCCTGTGAAGAGGCCACCAAACAGGCTTTGTGTGAGCAACAAGGCTGTTTGTTTCACCTGGGTGCAGGGCTGTGTCCGAAAAGAGAGTCAGTGAAGGGAGATAGGGGTGGGGCTGTTTTATAGGGTTTGGGTAGGTAAAGGAAAAAGGGGGGTTGTTCTCTGGCAGGCAGGAGTGGGGGTCACAAGGTGCTCAGTAGGGGAGCTTTTGAGCCAGGATGAGCCAGGAGAAGGAATCTCACAAGATAATGCCATCAGTTAAGGCAAGAACAGGCCATTTTCATTTCTTTTGTGGTGGAATGTCATCAGTTAAGGCAGGAACCGGCCATCTGGATGTGGATGTGCAGGTCACAGGGGATATGATGGCTTAGCTTGGGCTCGGAGGCCTGACATTCCTGTCTTCTTATATTAATGAGAAAAATAAAACGAAATAGTGGTAAAGTGTTGGGATGGCGAAAATTTGGGGGGATAGTATGGAGAGATAATGGGCGATGTTTCTCAGGGCTGCTTTGAGCGGGATTAGGGGTAGCATGGGAACCTAGAGTGGGAGAGATTAAGCTGAGGGAAGATTTTGTGGTAAGGGGTGACATTGTGGGACTGTTAGAAGAAATATTTGTCATTTAGAATTATTGGTGATGGCCTGGATACGGTTTTGTATGTATTGAAAAACTAAAGGGAATAAGAGAAGGAGAAAAACAGGTATTAAAGGACTAAGAATTGGGAGGACTTAGGACATCTAATTAGAGAGTGCCTAAGGAGGTTCAGCATAGCCTTGCCAGCAAAGATTATTTATTTACTTTAAGAGTTAAGAGTGGCAGTCTGGGGATAGCACCAGGAGATATCAGCTGTGATGGCTTGGAGAAACGGTGTAAACCGGCAGTGTAAACAAGAGCAGGGCATATATGAGTAGTCGAGAACGGTGAATAGGAGTATGACTAGACAGAAGATAGTAGGGATGACAAGTTTTTGGGGCACAGTCCAAGTTGGTCTGATGTCTGGAATGAGACTGGGGCTTAATAAAATGGAGCGTCCATACAGGAGCTCAAATGGGCTGTACCCTGTAGCATTCTGAGGACAGGCCTAAATTCTGAGAAAAGAAAGAGGTAAAAGTACTGTCTAGTCCTTTTTAAGTTGGTGACTGAGCTTGGTGAGGTGTGTTTTTAAAAGACCATTAGTCCATTCTACCTTTCCTGAAGACTGAGGACTGTAAGGGATATAAAGGTTTCACTGAATACCAAGAGCCTGAAAAACTGCTTGGCTGATTTGATGAATAAAGGCCGGTCTACTATTGGACTGCCTAGAGGTGGGAAGGCCAAACCGAGTAATTTTGACTGACAGAAGGGAAGAAGTGACCGTGGTGGCCTTCTTAGACCCTGTGGGAAAGGCCTGTACCTATCCAGTGAAAGTGTCTACCTAGACCAAGAGGTATTTTAGTTTCCTGACTCGGGGCATGTTGAGTAAAGCTAATTTGCCAGTCCTGGGTGGGGGCAAATCCCTGAGCTTGATGTGTAGGGAAGGGAGGGGGCCTGAATAATCCCTGAGAAGTAGCAGAATAGCAGATGGAACACTGAGAAGTGATTTCCTTGAGGATAGATTTCCATGATGGAAAGGAAATGAGAGGTTCTAAGAGGCAGGCTAGTGGCTTGTACTATATCATAGCCTGCCTTTGCTGGCATGTGGCGATTAGGCCTGGTGGAACTGCCATCAATAAACCAGGTGTGATCAGGGTGAGAAACAGGGAAGAAGGAAATGTGGGGAAATGGGGTGAACGTCAGGTGGATCAGAGAGATGCAGTCATGAGGGTCAAGTGTGGTATCAGGAATAATGTGAGAGGCCACATTGAAGTCCGAGCCAGGAACAATGGTAATTGTGGGAGACTCAACAAAGAGTGAGTACAGCTGAAGGAGCCAGGGAGCAGAAAGTATACGTGTCAGGTGTGAGGAAGAAAATAGATTTCGGAAATTATGAGAGCTGTAGAGAGTGAGTTGAGCATATTTTGTGATTTTAAGGGCCTCTAAAAGTATTAGGGCGGCAGCAGCCGCTGCATGGAGACATGATGGCCAGCCTAAAACAGTAAGGTCAAGTTATTTGGACAAAAAGGCTACAGGACGTGATCCCGGTCCTTGTGTAAGAATTCCGACTTCACAGCCCTGCCCTTCGGCTGTGTGTAATGAAAAGGGTTGGGATGAGTCAGGGAGAGCTAGGATGGGGGCAGCCTCTAAAGCTGTCTTCAAGGAATGGAAAGAGGAGTGGGGAAAGGATTTAGGATCTATGGGGTCAGCTAGGTTTCCTTTTGTGAGTTTATATAATGGTTTTGTTAGGATGGCAAAACCAGGTATCCAAACGTGAAAGTATCCAACCATGCCCAGGAAGGAAAGGAGTTGTTGTTTTGTAGAAGGGATTGGGGTTTGGGAGATTAGCTGGACACGATCAGCAGGGAGAGTGCATGTGTTTTTCTGAGAATTATGCTGAGATAGGTAACAGATGAGGAAGAAATTTGGGCTTGACTGAAGTAATGGGGGCTATCTGTGAAGCTTTGCAGCAGTAAAGCCTAGGTAATTTGCTGAGCTTGATGGGTGTCAGGGTCAGTCCAGGTGAAAGCAAAGAGAGGCTGGGATGAAGGGTGCAAAGGAATAGTAAAGAAAGCATGTTTCAGATCCAGAACAGAATAATGGATTGTGGAGGGAGTTATCAAGTATAGGAGAGTATATGGGTTTAGCACCATGGGGTGGATAGGCAAAACAATTTGGTTGATAAGGCATAGATCCTGAACTAACTTGTAAGGCTTGTCTGGTTTTAGGACAGGTAAAATGGGGGAATTGTAAGGAGAGTTTATAGGCTTTAAAAGGCCACGCTGTAGCAGGCGAGTGATAACAGGCTTTAATCCTTTCAAAGCATGCTGTGGGATGCGATATTGGCATTAAGCAGGGCAAGGGTGATTAGGTTTTAATGAGATGGTAAGGGGTGCATGATTGGTCACCAAGGAGGGAGTAGAGATATCTTATACTTGTGGGTTAAGGTGGGGGGATGCAAGAGGAGGAAGCAAAGGAGGCTTTGGATTGGGAAGAAGGGCGGCAATGAGATGTAGCTGTACTCCAGGAATAGTCAGGGAAGCAGATAATTTAGTTAAAGTGTCTCAGCCTAATAAGGAAACTGGGCAGGTGGGGATAACTAAAAAGGAGTGCTTAAAAGAGTATTGTCTAAGTTGACACCAGATTTGGGGAGTTTTAGGAGGTTTAGCAGCCTGGCTGTCAATACCCACAACAGTTATGGAGGCAAGGGAAACAGGCCCTTGAAAAGAAAGTAATGTGGAGTAGGTAGCCTCCGTATTGATTCAGAAGGGGACGGACTTACCCTCCACCGTGAGAGTTACCTAAAGCTCGGCGTCCGTGATGGTCTACAGGGCTTCCGAGGCAATCGGGCAGTGTCAGTCTTCAGCCGCTAAGCCAAGAAGATCTGGGAAGGAGTCAGCAGAGAGCCTTGGGCCAGAGTTCCAGGGGCTCTGGGAGTGGCTGCCAGGTGAGTTGAACAGTCTGATTTCCACTGGGGTCCCCCACAGATGGGACACAGCTTAGGAGGAATCCCGGGCTGCAGGCATTCCTTGGCTTGGTGGCCAGATTTCTGGCACTTGTAGCAAGCTCCTGGGGGAGGAGGTTCTGGAGGAACACCTGGCCACTGCGGTTTAGGTGTTTGGAAGTTCTTGTGTGCTGGAGATGTGGCTGGGGTTTGTCTCACAGTGGAGGCAAGGAATTGCAACTCAGAAATATGTTGCTACTTGGCTGCCTCTACTCTATTATTGTACACCTTGAAGGCGAGGTTAATTAAGTCCTGTTGTGGGGTTTGAGGGCTGGAATTTAATTTTTGGAGTTTTATTTAATATCGGGAGCAGATTGGGTAATAAAATGTATATTGAGAATAAGACGGCCTTTTGACCTTTTAGGGTCTAGGGCTGTAAAGCATCTCAGGGTTGCTGCCAAACGAGTCATGAACTGGGCTGGATTTTTATATTTGATGAAAAAGAGCCTAAATGCTATCTGATTTGGGATAAAGAAAAAGGACCACTAACTTTGACTATGCCTTTAACTCCAGCCAACTTTTTAAGAGTAAATTGCTGGGCAGGTTGGGGAGGGCCAGTCAGGGAATGAAACTGTAAGCCAGACCTGGTGTGAGGAGGGGAGGTGATAAAAGGATTATAGGGTGGAGGAGTGGAGGCTGAGGAAGAATTGGGACCTAGCTCAGCCTGGTGAGGAGCAGCCTGGGGAGGAGGGGAGAGGTCAGATGGGTCTGTAGAAAAGGAAGATTAGAAAGACTCAGTGATGCTTGGGGTTGGGACTGAGGAGACAGGTGGGAGGGAAAGAAGGAAGATTTGGGACGAGTTGCATTGGGAACAGAGACTAGGGAGGGACCGATGTATAAAAGAATGCCTGGATGTCAGGCACCTCAGACCATTTGGCCATTTTTTGACAAGAATTATTTAGATCTTGTAGGATGGAAAAATTGAAAGTGCCATTTTCCGGCTATTTGGAACTACTGTCGAGTTTGTATTGGGGTCAAGCGGCATTGCAAAAGAAAATAAGATGCTTAGATTTTAGGTCAGGTGAGAATTGAAGAGGTTTTAAGTTCTTAAGAACACAGGCTAAGGGAGAAGAAGGAGGAATGGAAGGTGGAAGCTTGTGCATAGTGAAGGAGGCAAGCCCAGAGAAAAGAGAGTAGAGACACAGAGAAGGGGTGGGGGGTTCTTGCCCTCCAGAAAAGCAGAGAAGGGGTCAGGGCGTGGAAATATGGGGTTGGGGCACAGAGATAAGAGGTTGGGGCATGGAAATAAGGGATCGGGGTGCAGAGATATTAGGTCGGGATTCCTGCCCCTCCTCCAGAAAAGCGGGACTTGCCACTAAGGGTGAAAGAGAAGGTGTTGAAGGGTTCTTGCCCCTCCCCCAGAAAAGCAGGACTTGCCGCTAAGGGTGAAGGACCAAGACAGGCGTCCCTGCGTGGTCTGACACCTCTGAAACCTGGGTGAATAATCAGAGAGGTGTCCCTGCAATGATTAAACACCAAGGGAAGGCTGCCTTCCCTAGTCCATGACCAGCGCCAGAGTTTTGGGTCCACGGATAAAATGTGCCTCCTTTGTCTCTACCAGAAAATGAAAGGAATTGAAATTAAGAGAAGGGAGAGATTGAAGTGTGGCACCAAGATTGAAAGGAGATAGAGGTTGAGGGATAGTGAGGGAGGTTGGAGAAGAGAGTAAAAAGAGGCTGCTTACCAGATTTAAAATTGGTGAGATCTTGCTTGGGCTGCTTGGTCTGAGGACCAGAAGTCATAGGTGGCTCTCTCTCACGGAGCAAAGAGCAGGAGGACAGGGGATTGATCTCCTAAGGGAGCTTGCCCGATCTGAGTCATGGCACCAAATTTCACTCACATCCATGTGAAAAGACCACCAAACAAGCTTTGTGTGAGCAACAAGGCTGTTTATTTCACCTGGGTGCAGGTGGGCTGAGTCCAAAAAGAGAGTCAGCGAAGGGAGACGGGGTGGAGCCATTCTATAGGATTTGGGTAGGTAAAGGAAAGGGGGGTAGTTCTCTGGCAGGCAGGAGTGGGGGTCACAAGGTGCTTAGTAGGGGAGCTTTTGAGCCAGGATGAGCCAGGAGAAGGAATTTCACAAGATAATGCCATCAGTTAAGGCAGGAACAGGCCATTTTCATTTCTTTTGTGGTGGAATGTCATCAGTTAAGGCAGGAACTGGCCATCTGGATGTGTACATGCAGGTCACAGGGGATATGATGGCTTAGCTTGGGCTGAGAGGCCTGACATGCAGCATTATTATTTCTGAGTTCTCTACTCTGTTCCCTTGGTCTATGTGTCTGTGTTTGCACTAGTACCATGCTGTTTTGGTCACTGTAACTTTGTAGTGTAGTTTGAAGTCAGATAATGTGTCTTTTTCTTTTTGCTTAGGATTGTCACGGCTATTCATTCTTTTTTTAAAATTTTGGTTCCATATGAATTTTAAAATAGTTTTTGTTGTAGTTCTGTAAAAAATGTCATTGGTAGTTTGATAGGAATACCAAACTGAATATTCAATTTAGTTTGATTGAATCTGTAAATCGCTTTGAGCAGTATGGCCATTTTAACAATACTGATTCTTTCTATACGTGAGCATGGAATGTTTTTCCATTTGTTTGTGTCCTCTCTATTTCTTTAAGTAGCGTTTTGTAATTAGCATTGTAGAGATCTTTCATCTCCACTGTTAGCTGTATTCCTAGGGATTTTATTCTTTTTGTGGCTACTATGAATGGAATTGTGTTCTTGCTTTGGCTCTCAGTTTGAATGTTGTTGCTGTAGGGGAGGGCTACTGATTTTTGTGTATTGATTCTGTATCCTGAAACTTTGCTGAAGTTGCTTATCAGATAAGGGAGCTTTGGGGCAGATACTGTGAGATTTTCTAGGTATAGAATCATGTCATCTGCTGACAGGGATAGTTTGACTTCCTTTCTTCCTAATTAGATGTTTTCTATTTTTTTCTCTTGCCTGATTACTCTGGCCAAGGCTTTCAGTGTTTTGTTGAATAAGAATAGTGAGTGAATTACTTTAAGAATTGAGTTTAAAAATTCTATTTTGTCTAACTGCTAAGATTGAAATAGTGCAGTGTTTAAGCATGAAATCTTAGGGAGATAGAAAAAGCTATCCAAAATATAATTTCATTTCTTCTTCTTAAAATGAGCTAAATTTTTAAAATTCAAACATTCATAAACAAACCTAACACTTCAAAGAGTGTCTGAAATGTTAAATTTGATGGAGATAATATCAGTACATGGGAGGAAAAAAACTGAATACCTGCCTTCAAGGGCAACTCCTTACAATATTGTTTGCAGAAGAACTTGGTATTTTTGTTTTCAGTCAACCTTCTCTCTAACTTCATTGTGGAAATCAGAGAACATTATATATAATCATGTTTATCAACCAATGTACAATAGATTTATTTAATAAAAAGGAGCATATAAAACAAAGTTATTTCTAGTAAAATTCTTTTAGGCTTTTTCTATTTTTTGGCAGACAAACCATATGGCTCATGTTGTAGAATAATTTGGTGAGTTGATCCCCATGCTCAAGCTTATGCTTCTTAAGAATTATGATGATGTTTTTTCTAACTTCTAAATATACATTGAAAGTATTTGAAAATTTTGAAAAATTGTAATATTTAAATAAAGTTTCCCGAATTATTTTTTCTCTCTTTTCTTCTATTACCTTTCTCCTTCTACTTCTTTCTATTCTTCTGATAAACTAGGAGTATTAACTTTTAGATAAGTAACCTTTTTAGTAGTAACAGATTTTTTTAAATAATGCAACTGTAATTTTCTTATAACATTAGTGATGTAGTTGTAGCAAGGTCCTGCTGGTTAAATTCTACATATAGAATTCTATGATTCCTCAAATTTGTAGAGAAGGAGAAAAAGTCACTGTCTATGCAAAATGAGCATCAGGATAAGAGCCATTTGATTCATGACAGGTTGTCACTCAATAATAATAATATGGAGAATTAATGACTATATATCTGTATCGATGTCTAATCCATATTCATACACATATCCCTTTTATCTGTCTACTTACTCTGGAGGTAGACTATCTGTGTTTACATATCAAATTAGTAACTCTGTAACTTTTCAAAACTTCAGTTTCTACACAATAATAATATTCTTCACACTAATAATATGACAATTAATGTCTATATATGTATATCACTAATCTATATTCATAAACGTACCTCTTCTATCTATCTACTTACTCTGGAGGTAGACTGTGTTTATATATCAACTATATTCATATACATACCTCTTTTATCTACTTACTCTGGAGGTAGACTATCTGTGTTTATATATCAAATCAGTAACTGTAGCTTTTCAAAACTTTGGTTTCTTTATTTGCAAAAATGAAAAAGAAAATAAAAGATGAATAAAATGAAGAAGAAGAAGATAAAAACGAGAAAATGGGAAAATTATACGGTGTATCTTTAAGTAGTAGCCATCAAATGGGGGTAATCCTGTTCCCCAGAAAATATTTGACAATGACTGGAGATATTTTGGTTGTCATAATGGTTTGGGGCTTGAGATGGGGAATGCTACTGCTAAATAGTGGGTAGAGGCTAGAGATTCTGCTGATAAACATTCTACCACTTATATAAGACCCCCACAAATAATTATCTGGTTCAAAGCATAAATAATGTCTCATTCAAGCATAAAAAAGCCCAGTTAGCTTCTGAGATTAGAGGAGATTGAGCACATTCAACAATAACAAAACAATGATATGAGCTGATGATAGGTTAATTAGCTTAAATGTGGTGATCGTTTTCTTATGTATACATATATCAAAACACAAAGTTGTACACCTTAAATATATACAATTTTTGTCAATCGTTCATTAATAAGCTGACAAAAAGTCCTAGTGTCAAGGTTAAGAAACCCTAGCTTACAAGGGCACATTTTTGATGATATAAAATTAACACTTCTAAAAAAGCTTCTAGTGGTATACTAGAGCCACCTCATACCAGCTTGTGAGATAAGGTTGTTCACATCGCTGCTCAACTTTCATTGAGTGGAAATACATTGGGAGGTTTACATTGACCACACTAGGTGTATTTCCACAACTAAATTTGACAAACTATAAATCAGGTATTCTGCTCCACATACACTGTGTGTCCCCGGAGAGCTGGTTGTTAAACATGTACTATCCTCCATTGCTTAGCACATTGCTTGGTATATTGAAACTACTGTATAAATACTAGCTACTATTATTTTTATGAAGCCCTCTCAAGTAATCTGGAAAAATCACTCTGCATTTTATTTTTTTCTTTCCTTATTGCTTATTTATTATTAAGCTTCCATTTCTCCTGATGATTTTATGATAGACTACTAACTATCCCTAGTTTTAACCAAGTCCTCCTCTATTTTTCATGCTTCAGTAATATTTATTATTGTAAAATGCAAATTTAAACCTGTTACTACCATATTTAATATTTTACAGTGACTTGCCATTTTTTATGGTATTAATCTGACCTCCTTAGTGTAGAATTGTGGGCCTTTTAACCTCATTCCAGAGGGCCCTGCAATTCACAGACCCTTTATTCAGATATATATACACTGGTGACTTCTCTATTGATCTTGTTATATTATATTGTCCTTTCTCTCAGTCAAACTAATTTGAGCTATTATTCAAAGGTAAGGAAAACTAACTCTGTCACCACTTATTGATTCAATATTTTCTCTTACGTATGCCTGGACCTTAGCTTACAAAATGTTAAGGCCAACCATCTTACTCTTTTTGTTCTGGGGAGTGATGCTATATGGGAGAGAAGTGAGCATAGGATGTTACAAATATTTCCTAAGTAAAAACAGGTCACAATACTTAATATATCAAACTTTGGCTGCCTCATATATCACAATTTGAGTATCTTTACATTTTACATTCTACACTCTGAATAGCTCTACCATACATTATATATAATTTACATTATTTCAATTCTTCAGTACATTCCAGAAGCCCAGTAAATGTTACGTATAATAGTTGTCATAGAAGATGGCTGACTAGAAGCAGCAGGATTCGGAGGCTCCCTTCGACAAAAACCATAATAAGCATGTGAACCTTTCACTAGCAACCAAGGTATCCAGGTTCTGTCGTCAAAACTGACATGAAAGCTGGCATGACCCACAGAGAGAAGGAAGAGCAGTGTGGTGTGACCCACCTGAGAGCCACATGGGGAAGGGAAACCCCTTCCTCTCAGCGAAGGGAGGTGGTGAGTGAGTGTGATACCCAGCTGGGGAAACTGTGCAACCCACACGGATGGAAAGATCCCACTCACAAGCCCATGCCACCAGGGCCTAGAGTCCCAACCCCAGAACATGCAGATTCTTACAGCCTTTTAGCTGGAACCTGCTTAAGCCTACCAAACTCCTAGGGGGAGGGGCAACGAGCAACTGCTGCAGCTGCCTGCTGTCTAAGCCATTTGAGCTCCTTGTGGGCGTGGCAGCAGCCAGCACTGGGAATTTCAACTGCCTAACAGGTTAAGGGGTAAGGGGAAGGGCAGTACCATTTTGTATGCTCCCCGGGTAGGGGGAAGGGCAGTACCCATTTTGTATAGCTCCAGACTGTGCTTTTCCCCCTGCTGGAGTCAGGGAGGCTGGATGGCTTGGTCCCAAGCCTTGTTCCCACAGCCCAACACACCCACTGTGGCAGTCTGCAGCCAGAGTGCCTCTTCAGGTCTAACCTTGACCCATCCTTCCTCAGTGGGTAGGGCTTCCTGCTGCAGGATCTCCAATAGCTCCAGAGGTTCAGGGACAGAATTCAGATCTCCCTGGGTCTCAGCCCCTAGCGGGAGGGGTGGCCGCAGTCTCTGTGGACCAGCAGACGTAGCCTCTCCTCCTGGTAGTTCTGAGGAATCTGGGCAGCCCAGATGAGTGGGTTTCCTCACAGTGAAACACACCTTCTCCACCAAGGGACAAAGTGCTTCATTAAATAGGCCATGCTCCCTGTGCCACCCAACTGGGTAAGACCCTCCAATAGGGATTCTCACACACCCTATACAGGAGTGATCCTACTGACATCAGGTTGGTGACCCTTGAAGTCAGAGGTCCCATAAGAAGGAGGAAGCACTCATTTTTGCTGCTTTCCAGCCTCCTTGAGTGACACCTTCAGGCACAAGAGCAAATCAGAGAATGGGGCCTGAAGTGAACCCCCAGAAAACTGTAGCAGCCCTACAGAAGAGGAATCTGATTATTGAAAGAAAAACAAACAAGCAGAAAGTGACAACAGCGTCATCAACAACAACAACAACAACAACAATAAAGGCCCCCACAAAAGCCCCATCCAAGGGTCAGCAACCTCAAAGACCAAAACTAGACAAACTCACGAAGATGAGAAAGAATCAACAAAAAATGCTGAAAACCCAAAAGGCCAGAGTGCCTCTTCTCCTCCAAATGATTACAGGATTACAGTGTCTGTCCATCAAGGATGCAGAACTGGACAGAGGATCAGATGGACGACTTGACAGAAGTAGGCTTCAGAAGATGGGTAATAGAAAACTATGCTGAGCTAAAGGAGCATGTTCCAACCCAATACAAATAAGCTAAGAGCCTTGATAAAATGTTAGACTAATTGCTAACTAGAATAACCAATGAAGAGTGAAACATAAACGACTGGATGGAGCAGAAAAACACAGCATGAGAACTTCGCAAAGCATACACAAGCATCAATAGCCAAATCGACCAAGTGGAAGAAAGGACATCAGAGTTTGAAGACCACCTTACTGAAATAAGACTTGCAGACAAGAACAGAGAAAAAAGAATAAAAAGGAATGAACAAAGCCTCCAAGAAATATGAGACTTCATAAAAAGTACTAAACCTATGATTAATTGGAATACTAGAAGGAGACAGGGAGAATAGAAACAAGTTGGAAAACATAGGTCAGAATATTATCCAGGAAAACTTCCCCAGCCTAGCAAGACAAGTCAACATGCAAATTCAGGAAATACAGAGAACACCATTAAGATACTCCATGAGAAGATCAACCCCAAGACACATAATCATAAGATTCTCCAAGGTTGAACTGAAGGAAAGACTGTTAAGGGCAGCCAGAGAAAAAGGCCAGGTCACCTATAAAGGGAAGCCCATAAGACTAACAGTGGACCTCTCAGCAGAAACTTTATAAGCCAGGAGAGACTGGGGACAACACTCAATATTTTTAAAGAAAATAATTTTTGACCCAGAATTTCCTTTCCAGGCAAACTCAGCTTCACAAGCAAAGGAGAAATAAAATCCTTTCCAGATAAGTAAATGCTGAGGGATTTTGTGACCACCAGGCCTGCCCTGCAAGAGCTCCTGAAAGAATAACTAAATATGGAAAGGAAAACTGGTACTAGCCACTGCAATAACACACCAAAATATAAAGACCAAATGACACTACACAAAACTGCATCAACTAGGGTGCAAAATGACCAAATAGCATCATGATGACAGAATCAGATTCACACGTAACAATATTAACCTTAAATGTAAATGGGCTAAATGCCCCAATTAAAAGACACAGACTGGCAAATTGAATAGAGTCAAGATCCATTGGTGTGCTGCATTCAGGAGAACCATCTTACATGCAAAGACACACACAGGCTAAAATTAAAAAAATGGAGGAAAAGCAAATGGAAAGCAAAAAAAGAGGAGGGGTTGCAATTGTAGTCCCTGACAAAACAGACTTTAAACCAACAATGATCAAAAAAGACAAAGAAGGGCATAATGTAATTGTAATTTGACGAGAAGAGCTAACTATTCTGAATATATATGAACCCAATACAGGAGAACCCAGATTCATGAAACAAGTTATTACAGACCTATAAAGAGACTTAGACTCCCACACGATAGTTGTGGGAGACTTTAACACCCCACTGTCAGTATTAGACAGATCAGCAAGACAGAAAATTAACAAGGTTATTCAGGACTTGTACTCAACTCTGGATCAAGTGGACCTAGTAGACTTCTACAGAACTCTTTATGCCAAATCAACAGAGTATACATTCTTCTCAGGGCCACATGGCACTTATTCTAAAATTGACCACATAATTGGGAGTAAAACACTCCTCAGCAAATGCAAAGGAACTGAAATAATAACAAACAGCCCCTCAGAATACAGTGCAATCAAATTAGAACTCAGGGTTACGAAACTCACTCAAAACCACACAATTTCATGGAAATTGAACAACCTGATCCTGAATGACTCCTGGGTAAATAATGAAACTAAAGCCGAAATCAAGAAGGTCTTTGAAACCAATGGGAACAAAGAGACAACATACCAGAATCTCTGGGACACAGATAAAGCAGTGTTAAGAGGGAAATTTATAGCACTAAATACCCACATCAGAAAGCTGAAAAAATCTCAAATTGACACACTACCATGACAATAAAAAGGGCTAGAGAGGCAAGAGCAAACTAATCCAAAAGTTAGCAGATAAGAAATAAGTAAGATCAGAGAAGAATTGAAAGAGATAGAGACATGAAAAACCTCCAAAAAATTAACACATTCGGAAGCAGTTTTTTTTTTTTTTTTTGAGATGGAGTCTCGCTCTGTCACCCAGGCTGGAGTGCAGTGGCGCCATCTCAGCTCACTGCAAGCTCCGCCTCCTGGGTTCACACCATTCTCCTGCCTCAGCCTCCTGAGTAGCTGGGACTACAGGCACCCGCCACTGCGCCCAGCTAATTTTTTGTATTTTTAGTAGAGATGAGGTTTCACCGTGGTCTCAATCTCCTGACCTTGTGATCCGCCCGCCTCAGCCTCCCAACGTGCTGGGATTACAGGTTTGAGCCACCGCACCCGGCTGGAAGCTGTTTTTTTAAAAAATTTAACAAAATAGATAGATTACTAGCTAGACTAATAAAGAAGAAGAGAGAAAAATCAAATAGACATAATAAAAAATGAAAAACGAGATATCACCACAGATCCCACAGAAATACAAACTACCATCAGAGACTATTATAAATACCTCTATGCAAATAAACTAGAAAATCTAGAAGAAATGGTTAAATTCCTGGATGCATGCACCCTATCAAGGGTTGCATCAACCAGGAAGAAGTTGAACCCTTGAATAAATCAATAACAAGCTATAAAATTGAGGCAGTAATTAATAGCCTACCAATCAAAAGAAAAAACCCAGGACCAGATGGATTTACAGGTGGATTCTACGAGAAATACAAAGAGGAGCTGGTACCATTCTTTCTGAAACTATTTAAAACAATTGAAAAGGAGGGACTCTTCCCTAACCCATTTTATGAAGCCAGCATCATCCTGATACCAAAACCAGGAAGAGATAGAACAAAAAAAGAAAACTTGAGGCCAATATCCATGATGAACAATGATGCACACATTCTCAGTAACATACTGGCAAACTGAATCCATCACCACATCAAAAAACTTATCCACCGTGATCAAGTCAGCTTCATCCCAGGGATGCAAGGCTGGTTCAACATTAGTAAATCAATAAACATAATCCGTCACATAAACAAAACCAAAGACAAAAACCACATGAGTATCTCAAGAAACGGAGAAAACACGTCTGATAAAATTTAATATCCCTTTATGTTAAAAACTCTCAGTAAACTAGGTATTGATGGAACATATCTCAAAATAATAAGAGCTATTTATGACAAACCCACAGCCAATATCATATTGAATGGACAAAATCTGGAAGCATTCCCTCTGAAAACTGGTACAAGAGAAGGATGACCTCTCTCACCACTCCTATTCAATATAGTTTTGGAATTTCTGGCCAGGGCAATCAGTCAAAAGAAAGAAATAAATTGTATTCAAATAGGAAGAGAGAAAGTCAAGCTGTCTCTGTTGGCAGAGGATATGATTTTATATTTAGAAAACCCCATCATCTCAGCCCCAAAACTTCTTGAACCAATAAGCAATTTCAGAAGTCTCAGGATACAAAATCAATGTGCAAAAATCACATGCATTCCTTTACACTGACAACAGACAAGCAGAGAGCCAAATCATGAATGAACTCCCATTCACAATCACTGCAAGGAGAATAAAATACCTAGGAATACAGCTAACAAGGGTTGTGAAGTACCTCTTCAAGGAGAACTACAAACCACTGCTCAAGGAAATAAGAGAGGACACAAACAAATGATAAAACATTACATCCTCATGGATAGGAAGAATCAATATAATGAAAATGGCCACACTGCCCAAAGTAATTTATAGATTCAATGCTATTTCCATCAAATTCCATTGACATTTTTCACAGAATTAGAAAATCTGTTTTAAATTTCATGAAATCTAGGAAGACTTTGAATAGCCAAGACAAACCTAAGCAAAAAGAACAAAGCTGGAGGTATTAAGCTACCTTAATTCAAACTGCACTACAAAGTTACAGTAACAAAAATAACATGGTACTGGGACTAAAACAGATATATTGTCCAATAGAGCAGAACAGAAACCTCAGAAATAACACCACACATCTACACCCATCTGATCGTCAACAAACCTGACAAAAACAAGCAATGGGGAAAGGATCTCCTATTCAGTAAATTGTGCTGGGAAAACTGGCTAGCCATATGCAGAAAACTAAAACTGGACCCCTTCCTTACACCGACACAAAAATTAACTCAAGATGGATTAAACACTTAATTGTAAAACCCAAAACCATAAAAAACCTAGGAGAAAACCTAAGCAATACCATTCAGGACATAGGCATGGGTAGACTTCATGACAAAAATGCCAAAAGCAATTCCAATAAAAGCCAAAATTGAAAAATGAGATCTAATTAAAGACCTTCTACGCAGCAGGTGAAACTATCATCAGTGTGAACAGGCAACCTACAGAATGGGAGAAAATTTTTGCAATTTACCCATCTGACAAAGTTCTAATATACAGAATTTACAAGGAACTTAAACATACCACAAGAAAAAACAAACAACCCCATCAAAAAGTGGGCAAAGGATATGAACAGACACTTCTCAAGACATTTTTGTGGCCAACAAAGGTGAAAAGAAGCTCAACATCACTGATCATCAGAGAAATGCAAATCAAAACCACAATGAGATACCATCTCATGCCAGTCAGACTGGCTATTATTAAAAAGTCAGAAAAAATAGATGCCAGCAAGGCTGCGGAGAAATAGGAATGCTTTTACACTTTTGGTGGGAGTATAAATTAGTTCAACCATTGTGGAAGACAGTATGGTGATTCCTCAAGGATCTAAAAGCAGAAATACCATTTGACCCAGCAATTCTATTACTGTGCTGGGTATATACCCAAAGGAATATGAATCATTCTTTTATAAAGACACATGCACACGTATGTTTATTGCAGCACTATTTACAATAGCAAAGACATGGAACCAACCAAAATGCCCATCAATGGTAGACTGCATAAAGAAAATGTGGTACATATACACCATGGAATACTATGTGGCCATAAAAATGAATGAGATCATGTCCTTTGCAGGGACATGGATGAAGCTGAAAGCCACTATCCTTCGCAAACTAACACAGGAACAGAAAACCAAACACTGCATGTTCTCACTCATAAGTGGGAGCATAACATTGAGAACACATGGACACAGAAAGGGAAACAACACACACCAGGGCCTGTTGTGGGGTGGAGAGTTAGGGGAGGGAATTTAGAGAACAGATCAATAGGTTTAGCAAACCACCGTGGCACATATATACCTATGTAACGAACCTGAACGTTCTGCATATGTATCCTGCTTTTTTTTTTTAGAAGAAATAAAGGGAAAAAAATAGTTGTCATAGAAAAATACTGGATAATTTGTTCATATAAATCTTAACATTATTTGGAATAAATTTTATTTACACTACAGCATTATTATGAAATCTTTATACAACTATCAGTTAATATACAAATTATTTTGAGCAACATTGACCACAAAACAAGGTAAACATATCCACCTACACTTTTAAAAATAGTATGCCTTATGAATTCCCAGCCATAAACATGAAAATACAAAAATAATCATAGACTTATGGAAAATGTTTCTTCCACAGCAGGATTTCACTACTTAGAATTGTTAAAAATGGGCAACATTGAGAGGAAAGCCATAAAAAATGGGGAAAAATAACATAAAAATAAAGATGTGATATCTGAAATTAAATGTCATGATTGAGGGTATTAAAATGTATTGAAGAATACCAGGAATATCTCCTAATTCAGCTCAGCACATGTAGATGGGTGTGCACAATTCCTGGTAAATATTCTATGATTCTCCTCTCTACAATATCTTTCAATTTAACCTTTTAATACAAGTATACCAAAATCAGAGACACATGGTAATCTGTCTTGGTTGGTAACCTAATCATAAGAATGTTTTACAATGGTTACCACGTAAAAAACATACTAAAAGCCTGCACTACCATCTCCAAGAAGCTTATGACTCTCAGTCATGAAAAATTTATTGAGCATCATAAAATGTCAGCATAGATAGGTGGAGAAAGATGGCTGAATAGAAGCCTCCACTGATCATTGTCCCCTCAAGAACACCAAATTGAACAACTCTCCACATTAAAAAACACCTTCATGAGGCCGGGCGAGGTGGCTCACGCCTGTAATCCCAGCACTTTGGAAGGCTGAGGCGGGCAGATCACGAGGTCAGGAGATCGAGGCCATCCTGTCTAACACGGTGAAACCCCGTCTCTACTAAAAATAGAAAAAAACCCAAAAAATTAGCTGGGCGTGGTGGCAGGCGCCTGTAGTCCCAGCTACTCGTGAGACTGAAGCAGGAGAACGGCGTGAACCCAGGAGGCGGAGCTTGCAGTGAGCCGAGATTGCGCCACTGCACTCCAGCCTGGGCCACAGAGTGAGACTCCGTCTCAAAAAAAAAAAAAAAAAAAAAAAAAGCACCTTCATAAGAACTGAAAGTCAGGTAAACAATCAAAGTACCTGGTATTAAGTTCATATTACTGAAAAAGGCACTGAAGAGAATAGGAAATAAAACCTTGAATTGTTCATGCCACCCCTCCCCCAGCCCCCAACACTGGCATCCTGAAACGGAAAGATAATATGCGTTCTTGGGGGAGGGAAAGTGCAGTTACTGTGGGACATTGTATTGGAACTCAGTGCTGCTCTGTCCTAGTGGAAAGCCACATGATGCAATACTCAGCTCATGCCTATGGAAGGAGTATTTAGACCAACCCTAGCCACTGGGAATTGCCCATCCCAGTTGTCAGAACCTGAGTTCTGGTAAGCCTCTCCACCATGGACTAAACTGGTCTGGGGTCCCAAGCAAACATGAAAGGCACTCTAGGCCACAAGGACTGCAATTCCTGGGCAAGTTATATTGCTGGGCTAGGCGCAGAGCCAGTGGACTTGGGAAGCACACAATCCAGTGGGAGACCAGCAGGGGCAGAGAAGGGTGTTTTTCCCTTCTCTGCAAAACCAAGGCAATGTAGCTGAGATCATGCCACTGCACTCCAGCCTGGGCGACAGAGTGAGACTCCGTCTCAAAAAAAAAAAAAAAAAAAAAAAAAACCCTAAAACCATAAAAACCCTAGAAGAAAACCTAGGCAATACCGGACATAGGCATGGGCAAAGATTTCATGACTAAAACACCAAAAGCAGTGGCAACAAAAGGCAAAATTGACAAATGGGATCTAATTATACTAAACAGCTTCTGCACAGCAAAAGAAACTATCATCAGAGTGAACAGGCAACCTACAGAATGGGAGAAAATTTTTGCAATCTATCCATCTAACAACGGGCTAATATCCAGAATGTATAAATACCTTAACAAATTTATATTTACAAGAAAAAAGCAACCCCATCAAAAAGTGGGCAAAGGATATGAAAAGACACTTTTCAAAAGAAGACATTTTTGCCACCAACAAACATATGAAAAAAAACTTATCATCACTGGTCATCAGAGAAATGCAAATCAAAACCACAATGACATACCATCTCACGCCAATTAGAATGGCAATTATTAAAAAGTCAGAAAACAACAGATGCTGGAGAGGATGCAGAGGAATAGGAACACATTACACTGTTGGTGGGAGTGTAAATTAGTTCGACCATTGTGGAAGACAGTATGGCAATTCCTCAAAGATCTAGAACCAGAAATACCATTTGACCCAGCAATCCCATTACTGGGTATATATCCAAAGGATTATAAGTCATTCTTCTATAAAAAGACATGCACACATATGTTTACTGTTCACAATAGCAAAACTTGGAACCAACCCAAATGCCCATCAATGATAGACTGGATAACGAAAAGTTGGCAAATATGCTCCATGGAATACTATGCACCCATAAAAAAGGATGAGTTCATGTCCTTTGTAGGGGCATGGATTAAGCTGGAAACCATGATTCTCAGCAAACTAACACAGGAAAAGAAAACCAAACACCATATGTTCTCATTCATAAGTGGGAGATGGTATCTTATTGTAGATTTTATTTGCATTTTTCTGATGATCAGTGATGTAGAGGACATTTTCATATAACCGCTCAGCATTTTCATGTCTTCTTTCAAGAAATGTCTATTCAGCTCTTTTGCCATTTTAAAAAATTGGATTACTAGAATTGTTTCCTATAGAGTTGTTTGATTTCCTTTTATATTCGATTTATTAATCCATTGTCTGGTGGATACTTTGCAAATATTTTCTCCCATTCTGTGAGTTTTAACTTTTTTGTTTTCTTTGCTATGTAGAAGATTTTTAACTTGACATGATCCCTTTTCTCTATTTTTGCTTTGATTATCTGTATTTTGGTGGTATTACTCAAGAATTCTCGGCCCAGTCTGATGTTCTGGAGAGTTTCCTCAACGTTTTATTTTAGTCATTTCACCCTTTCAGGTCTTAATATTTAGGGCCTTAATGCATTTTGATTTAATTTGTGTATGGCAAGACATATGGGTCTAGTTATATTCTTCTGCTTCAGGATATCCAATTTTCCCAGCACCATTTATTGAAGAAACTGGCCTTTCCACCAATGTGTGTTCTTGGCTCGTTTGTCAAAAATTAGTTCAATGTAGATGATTGGATTTGTTTCTAGGTTTTCTATTCTGTTCCATTGCTCTATTTGTCTGATTTTATGCCCATACCTTGCTGTTTGGGGTACTATAGCTCTGTTCTATAACTTGAAATCAGGTCATTTGAGTCCTCCAGTTTTGTTTTTTTGTTCAGAACACATTTGGCCTCTGCATCTTTTGTGGTTCCACATAAATTTTAGGACTCTTTTTTCTATTTCTTTTAAGAATGACATTGAAACTTTGACAGGCATTACACTGAACCTGTAGATTACATTGGATTGTATGGAAATTTTAACAATATTGATTCTTCCAATTCATGAACATGGACTATATTTCTAATTTTTTGTGTTCTTTGCCCTTCCTTCATCAACATTTTATAGTTTTCATGTGGAGTCCTTCATTTATTTAATTAACTTTATTCCTATGTATTTTTATTTTATTTGTACCTACTGTAAATTGGATTATGTTCTTGATTTGTTTTTAGATTTTTCACTGATGGCATATAAAAATGCTACTGATTTTATACATTGATTTTGTGTCCTACAACTTTATTGAATTTGTCTATCACTTCTAATAGCTTTTTTGGTTGAGTCTTTGAGTTTTTTTAAAATATAAAATAATGTAATCTTCAAACAATGATAATTTTACATATTCCTTTCCCATTTGGATGCCCTTTATTTCTTTCTCTTGTCTGATTGCTCTAGCTAGGACTTCCAGTGATATGTTGCATTATAGTGGTGAAGGTGGGCATCCTTACTTGTTCCGGATCTTAGAGAAAAGGCTTGCATTTTTTCCCTATTCAGTATGATATTAGTTGTGTGTCTGTCATATATGGCTTTAATTATGTTGACATATGTTCCTTCTATAACCAGTTTTTTGAGGGTTTTTATATGGAGGAATGTTGACTTGTATCAAATGCTTTTTAGCATCAATTTAAATGATCATATATATTTATTTTTGTCTTTCATTCCATTGATATGATGTATCACAATGATTGATTTGCATATGATGAGTTATCCTTGCACCCCTGGGATTAATCCCACTTGATCATAATGAATGATCTTTTAAATGTTTTGTTGGGTTCACTTTACTAGTATTTTGATAATAATTTTGCATCTGTAGTAGTCATGGATATTGGCCTGTAGTTTTCTTGATGTGTCTTCATCTGGTTTTTGTACTAAGGTAATACCTGCCTTGTAGTATTAGTTTGGAAGTATTCACTTGTCTTCTATTTTTTTGAATAGTTTGAGTAGTATTAGCAGTAGTTTTTTTTTTAATGTTTGGGAAAATACAGCAGTGAGACATCATTATCTGGGTTTTCTTTTGGGGGGGAAGTTTTATGGCCTTAATCTCTTTACTTGTTATTGGCTTACTGAGGTTTTTTCATTTATTCATGGTTCAATCTTGGTAAGTTGTATGTGTCTAGGAATTTATCCATTTCTTCTCAGTTTTCCAATCTATTGGCATATAGTTGCTCATAGCAGCCACTAGTGATCATCTGCATTTCTGTGGTATCATTTGTAATGTCTCCTTTTAAAACTTTGATTGTATTATGTTAGTCTTCCCACTTTTTTTTTTTCTTTTTGTAGATAGTCTGGGTAAAAGTTCGTCACATATCCTTATTGCTCCATTATTGATCATTGGTCCCTTATTTAGTTCATTTGGCCAGTGCATGTATTCCTGGTTGGTCTTGATGCTTGTGGATGTTTGTCAGTGCATGGGCATTAAAGAATTAGGTGTTTATTGTAGTCTTTGCAGTCTGGGCTTTTTTGTACTCATCCTTCCTGAGAAAACTTTCCAGATATTCAAAGTAACTTGGGTATAGCGATCTAAGTTTTGTCCACTGCAGCCATGTCTATATTAGGGGACACCCCAAGCCCAGTAATGTTGTGGCTGTTGCAGACAGACTTGTAGAAGTAGTAGAAGTTCTGCCTTGGTGGTCTTGGATAAGATCCAGAAGAATTATCTGGATTATAAGGCATAGACTCTTGTATTCTTCCCTTACTTTTTCCATTACAAAAGACATCTATTTATATATGCTGAGCTGCCTAGAGTTGGAGGAGGGGTGACAGAAGCCCTCCTGTGGCTACCATCACTGTGACTGTGCTGCGTTAGACTTGAAGTCAGCTAACACTGGATCTTGCCCAAGGCCTGCAGTAACCACTGCCTGGCTATCATCATTTTCTCAGCTTTTCCTTATTTTTCACGAGCTTGGCAGTTTTGAAGAAGCATGCAATAGTTGTCCTGTTACGTCTGGCTGTTTCACTTAGCATAATATTTTCAAGGTTCATTGACGTTGTAGATATATCAAAACTTCATTCCATTTTATAGCAGAATTATAGTCTACTGTATTTACCAAATTAAAGATTAGATGAAATTAAAATTCCTGCCAATTTTAATAAACCTATAAATATAAAAATATTAAAATATTAATATTTTAATATTAATGAAAATATTATCATAGAAATTGAAGTAATTATTACCAAAGTAGGAGATGTTACTTTAATGTATTAACTAATATGTTTTATGTTTGTGGTAATTTCCTTCTGCTCTATAGCCCTTCCCTCATCTAATTTGTCATTGTCTCAAGGATGGAATGTCACCCAAGGAAAGCAGAAAAAATGACTCTGAGTTTATAATTCATATGCTGCCTTAATGTTGTATGTTCTGCAGTTTTGAATTACACTCTGTATAGGAGGCAGAGCATAAATTGTATCCCATAATAAAAAGTACAATGGATTTTTAAGAATGTATGATAGGCAAAGCCCATATTTTTTACCTTTTCCTAAAACCATGGTGGATATTCCCCTTTGCCTGTCCAGGCATTCTTCACCTTCTCTGCTCAAAAGATGGAACAGTACGTTGACTGTATCAGTGATCTCATCTGTCCTTTGATAGAATAACAAAGTGAGGGAGGAGAGTAGGTGAGTGTATTAGTCAGTTCTCATACTGCTAATAAAGATATACCTAAAACTGGGTAATTTATAAAGGAAAGAGGTTTAATTGACTCACAATTCCACGTGTTTGCTTTACTCACATTCTCAACTAATTGGTAGGTTCTTAACAATCTAGTCTTATTCTGGAAAACCTATTTCCTCTTACCAGTAACTGGCTTACAAAAAGGCAGGCCTAAGAAAATTTAATTAATTAAACCTGAGGACAAATTTGACAGAGCCTCCCTGGAAAGGGGGCTTCTTACTATGAAAATATTTCTTACTATGAATACACAGCCTGAGGAAGACAGCCTTTCTTGTTCAGATGTATGAGTGGGGAAACATAGCCCAAATTGTTGTTGCACCTATAAGGGAATCCAGTCTCAAGATGTAGCAACATGGTTGGTGCAGAGCAAAACAAGGGAGACCACTGGGTCATTTTGGCAAAATTCTGTCCTTGGATCAATTCTCTACCTGCCTTTTCTTTAAGACTCTGATTCTGTATACTGGGATGTGTGTGTGTGTGTGTATGTGTGTTGGGATGTGTGTGTGTACAATTTAAAACTTAATTTGCTTCACTTTTTAGTTCATTAATGATAAAATCAGCCTCAAATAAAGAAGTAATGTTTGGAGGCGAGTTCTCTAAACAAACAGAAAAGGATGAGGGATTTGGGGAAGAGAAAAAGAGTGGAAAGGAAAGAGAAATATGACAAGTGATCTTGGACCAAAGGAATGTATGACTGAAGCCGAAGTTAAACTTAGGGGCAGTAGTTTAAAATGTCAGGAGAAAAAAGGTTCTACTCCAATTGTTTGCTCAATTAGGAAATCCTGAGAAATAATATTACATTTATAAATGTAAATATACATAAGTTGTATTAACTATGTAGGTTTTCTGACATAGAGTTCAGAGAGAAAAGTGAGAAACAGAATGATATCTAAAGAGTAATAACAGTTATGAAAATTTTAAGTAAAATATGCATAAACATGTATAAACAAAAACATCTATAAAATGTTATGAGGCAACAAAATTCACATTAGGGTATGTGCGTTTAGTGAGAGAAAAAAATGGGACTGGAAATGAATAATTCGGGAAAGATGAAAATGAGATGGGTTTACATTAATTGATATTGATGATATACTTAATTAAGAAGCATGATTATCTAAATTCTGTGTACCTAGTCTAAAACAAAAATATACGTATGTTTGTGTGTGTGCTACCTGTATGTATAACTATTATACATATAAAGATATATTAAACATAATAGTAAGAAAAAATCACAACCTATATTGTCAGATAAAGTGAGCCACCGAGCCTGGCCTCTTAGTGATACTTTAAACTTACTAGTTTCCTTCACATTTTCCATTGTGTTAAACTTATTATACTTATTTTAACAGTAGTAAATGATGTCTTTTTCTTCAAAACAGAATGCTTTCAAATATTTCTGTAGACATTTATGTAAAGGAGGTGTGCATATTTATTTACAATAATATAACCCTATAAAACATCATTTTGAAATTTTTTTGCATATTTAAAAGCTGCAAGTAAGATATTTCATAAATCAGATGTATTTGGTACAGAGTCATATATGTGTGGATTATATTTCTGTAGGAAATATGGCAATACTTCTGCTTTCAGAGAAAACATTATTCTTTCTTAGTGTAACAAGACATTACCAAACATGCATCAATCTTATGTCTTTTAAAGAGATAAAACTACGATGGGCATTATATTTGGGCCTAGTAATCTAAAGAAAGGAAACATGTGGAATGGTGGTTATAAAGGAGATTATATTTTGGGTGAGCAACAAAAATTTAAATTAAATAATTACAATTGGAGTTGCATACATTATATATTAAGGGCAGGTACAAAATGCTAAGAGAACATATAGCAGGTAGTAGTTAATATTTAACAAATAATCTATATATTTACACATTCTTTAATAGGTTTAATTTCTTGCCAAGTTTAATTCTTTCTTAAAGTTTCTAATAATCAAATAAAATTAGTTTTAGAGTTCAGGTAGTTTCAATCATAACAATAGTCAATAGGCCAGTAAAGTAATTTTTATATATTAAGGTATTATGGAGTTATAAACATAACCTAAGGTATGTATGAAAGCGGGTTTATATTACAGAATATATAATTTTAGTAGTATATGTAGTCATCACCTTTAGTATTTTCAGAAGAAGGAGGAAAGAAGAAAAGATGGGTTTAGAGTTTTATCGTGGTATTACTATTACAACTTACAATAAAAACCGCTGCAAAGCAAAACTGTGTTTCAACCAGATTTGCCATTTTCAGTGTTTCCGAACTTTAGTGTCTTTGCTTAAAGTCTTTACTTTTTCCTCTCTTGTAACCACACCATGTGTTGAAATTTCACTCATCTGTAAACTAAACCTCTTATAAAACTTGTCAGAATACATGTCAAAATTAATTTCTCCTTTATAGCATTTATGAATCTCTTTCTATATATAAATATACATCACTATTATTCATTACAATTTTCAGTGTGTTTATTTGTGCATGGAACTTTTCACATTCACCTTTGTAATACTCATTGGCCAACATGAGTCACAAATGCACACTATATATGGTTGTGGCTAGTTTTGAAAATGCATTTTGTCCATGGTAAGAGATAATGATGAGCGATTATGATCAGGTTTCAGATGAATTATAAAATTATTTAAAAGTAAAAGTCAAATTAAATCAACCTTTGGTAGCAGGACAATTTTTAAAATAGCACGGTTTTAGGGCCATAAAGCTTTGCATTACAATCCTGGCTTACTAACTTGGTAGTTCTGTGAATATAGATTAAGATTGTTGCTCTTGAACTACATCGTCCTCCACATTTGTATAAAAAGGACACTATCACATTTACAGTTGGTCTGACAATTAGAAATTATTTTGTGAACAGTTAGATTAGCATCTCTCACATAGTAGATGCTAAAAAATGGTAGTTGGTCACAGGAGAAGTGGCACTAATCAACATCATTTATCAATCATCTAAGAAATGCCTAGAATAAAGTACCAAGAAGTCTATCATATTGGAATTAAGAAAATGATTAATTCTGTTAGGGCATATTTATGTATATAGCATTCGCATTTTTATACTTACGAATTTCAGTTAGGTGCCTCAATGATCTTACGTTAATATTTATCAAATCCTAAATGTTCCAAGCCCAGAAAATAATACAAATAAATAGATAAGTATAATTCCATCATATGCTTTATTTCTTAAGTAAAGAAAACCTTACTAAAATATGTAATTATAGATTATATAAAATATGTGCTATTATTTGACAAAATAAGCTTGTTTCTTTTTACTTAATTAAGAGCTAAAATACTTAATTGGCTTGGAAGTATGCCAATGTTGCTTTGTAGACTGTGAAATACGATTGTACAAAAGTCACATATAGTAAATATAAGCGTATACATGTATACCTATTTGAATTCTACATTTGTCAAAAATATTGAATATGTTTATGGGCGGTTTGTGTTTATGTTTGTGAGAGAGAGTGGGGAGAAAACAGAGAAGAAGAGAGAGAGGAAATGACAGTATGTATGCACTAAAAGTAAATTTTTAAAAATAATGAAATAAAAATTCTTAAAGTGGTAGAGAATGCATCAAAAGTACAGCACTAGTAAATAGCATGTAATATTAATGCAAAACTAGTGTTGACTTGCCCTGAGATTTAGATTTTGAGGGAATTTTATTAAATGTTCCCATAGTGATATTTAACAAAACGTACAGTATACTTACATTAAAAAAAGAACTACTTTGATTTTCGAAACTCATTTCTAAAACAACCATTTCCTAGCAATGGCTTTTGTGTTGTCAGAGTGGAGTTAGCATTCATGCTCTTACACTCAATTCCTCAGGAGCATACATCTTTTCAAATGCAAGGGGATCCTAAAAATAGTAACTGGCCAGTAAAATCAGACTTCGCTCATGTTGTCAGTTATTTATACACCATTTTCCCAACTGAGCATCCCTACTGCCATAATGACCTGAACGCATGCAGTGCTCAGCTGCTGAGGCAAAGCTTACAAGCTGATTTTATTGCTTTAGACACATTGAACAACAGAAGAGCCCATCAGCACAGGAACATTAGGATGCCAGAAGTGTTTTCCAATCATTTGCAATAGGAAATCACTCTACAGTATGAATATATATTAAACATGTGTCATTGTTTTCTGCAAAGAAGTCTATAGCACACAGTATACTGCACTTTAGCAGCAGTGATAAATTTATTCTTCTAACCAAATTGCAAAGGATTTGATTTGATATTTAAGTTAAATGATCACCATTCCCCACTAATGGTTTTATGTTTAACCTCTTTGTCTACCAAAATTCTGGGCATATTGAGTTATCTTCTATTGACTGAGAATAATAACCTACATATCCATGGATACAGAATAGTACTTTTATTTTTTGGATTGTGTCCCAGACCTCGCATAGAGTATTCCTATGCTTATACCACAGTAATTGAATCTGTGCTGCCTCTGAGTCATTGAGTTAGACAGTTATTTATGTATAACTCACCCGTCCTTAAAAATAAGGTGGCTTTTACACACACACACACACACACACACACACACACACCCCTATAATACATTGATTCCTGAAGCAAAAGTAATTATAGAATAATTGTCTCTAGCTCATAGATTTTAGTCCAAACCTTTCCTCTCCTTAGAAATTTCACATATGGTAATTTATATTCACTGTGTTTGACTTTATATTGTGACATCCTTATCCAATGCAGAATACAAAATATGTCCAATGCCATGCCATAATGGTTGACAGAATTATTGTCATAAAATGTATCATTACAAATACTTATTTTCATATATTATTTTCCTAAATATAAAATCTCAGTTTGATTTTAAAAAACCTCTAAAACACTTACTTATTGTCATAGCCTATTGCAGAGAATGATGCTTTAATGAGATTTTAGAGTTGTTTTAAATCAAAAACCTATTGTGTTTAATTCTATGTCTATGGGTTGAAAAATAATGAAAAGCTTTCAAATATTTGATAAAACAATTGCAAAGCAAGCAAATCAGAAAACAAATTTTTAAGTGTTATTATTTTCTTTATGCTGTGATGATACTAAACACATTTATATAATTCATGAAACTTATTATTTTTCATAGATATTTCTTAAGATAATAATGTCAATGTTGTCACTCTGAGTCTATCACCACCTTTCAATCAATTTGCCAATACAGATATGAATCAAATCTTGCTTTTATATTAATTATTTAACAATGCATTGCAAGAAATTGTTGATATAAAGGCTAGACTAAACTGTATGTTGTGTGTAAGTATTCATTTTCTCAATATGGAGTGCAGTTTAAGCACATTAAACATAAATATGAGAGTTGTGATAAATATAAATTGTGAAATCTCCTACTTCATGAAATGATCTGCTATGGTATCCAGTAGCATTCACAATTGTTTGGTCTTGAAATGCCTTCAATCATTTTAGGATAGGCTCTGTATTAGTTTCTGAGTCTGCTTCTTAATCTTTACCTAATATGCAAACCAAAATTTTTATAATTTGAATCACTACATATTATTCCTCATGTGCCCTTCAGCAGGCAAGCTAAACAAAATGTCCTGCTTCTTTAAATTACTAAAGCAGTTTTTATTTTTTTGTTTATTTTTTGAAGTGTATTACTTTCTGAGGTATTTTTAATATTGATATTTATGCTTTTTCTCTCATTCAAGAGAAAGAGCTCCTAAAAGGAAAGAATTGTTTCTCCCTGAATTTATAGTGTGTGTCAGTGGCTGGCAAACAAATTGTAACAGTCTGTTGAGTCAGTCAAAAAGTGTTAATTTTCAGACAATATTTAAACCAATGGAAAAATGTCACTTGATAAAAATATTTATATTTACTCTTACCTCAAATATACATCAAATCCATAATGTAAAGGCTAATAATCATAAATTGAGTTTTAAAATAACATGGAAAAAATTTTTAAAGAGGACATATTTCTACTTTTTAGTATGTTCTCACTTAACATTGTTGATCAGTTTTTGGAAACTGTGACTTTAAGCAAAAGAACATACAGCAGGTTCTGAAACAATATTTTTTCCCGTGTATTAGTTCATTCTCACACTGCTGTGAAGAAATGCCAGAGACTGGGTAATTTATAAATAAAAGAGCATTAACTGACTCACAGCTCCGCATGGCTGGGGAGGCCTCAGGAAACTTACAAATATGGCAAAAGGGGAAGAAAAACATCCTTCTTTACATGGCAGGAGAGAGAAGTGCAGTGTGAAGAGGGAGAAAGCCCCTTATAAAACCATTAGATCTTGTGAGAACTCAATCATAATCTAATCTCCTCCCACAAGGCTTCTCCCATGACACATAGGGATTAGGAGTACTACAGTTTAAGATGAGATTTGGGTAGGGGCACAGCAAACCATGTCATCATGTAATGTTATTTTTTATAACATTGATTAAAAATGGTTTTATTATACATTGTTTTGCTTAAAGTTTCAGTTTCCAAGAACCTATCTAGGTTGTGAAGATTTATTTTATTAACTACTGGGTATCCAATAAATATGACTGTTGCTTGTATATAGCATATGATTTTTGTTGTATTTTGTAACTGATTCTCCAAAGTAATGCATTCCAAAGCTATGTACAGAAAGAGGAAAAAAATGCCAGTTTGAACAGTTGCTCTAGTTTTTTGTGTTTGTGTGTTTAATTTATTTCATCAATTAGATCTAGTAATCTAAAAACCCAATAAATGTATAACAATATTTCAAATTTTAATTTTCCTAAATCTGTACATGGCATTTCTGGAGAGATAGCAAGCATTCTCAGAGCTCATTCCTGTTACCCCATCATAGAAACTTATGTAAAATTAGTGAAAACTTCTTTTAAGAATCAATAAGCATGGTGCATAATGTGTTTTAGAATTATTCTGAATTTTTGACCTATATGACTTATAAGTAATATATTACTTATACTGCTTACTGTATAAGTAAGCAGTAGGAAATGTGTACCTTGCAGAAAGATAGAAGAGAGAGTATGTGTTACCATAATATAAGATTAGGAAAACAATTTGTTTCAGTCTGCATGAAGTAAAATGTTTACTTTGTAATTTCCATCTATTATCTCTGATCATGAAGCCTATCTTTAAATTATCTTTCCTGTATATTCTAATATTTTGCTATTCAACATTTCCTTTACAAGAGAATTGAACTTTACTTAATTCATTAATATCATACCAAGGATATTTCGTTTTAAGATGTTTCCACCACTAAGGATGCCTAATGAATGGGAAAACTATATATTAAAGATTCTGTGTTTATATATAATCTACAAATACAGGCTATGATGTTGGGATTCTGGATATTGAATAAACATTTAAGTATTACAGTATGCTTATTTCTTAGAACTTTAATAGAATTACACTGACAAAAATAATTTAAAATAATATAGAATTAAATAATAGTTGGGGATATTATTTTAGGTAATATAATTGTACCACATGGAAAGATGGAGTTGATATCATTAGGGCATGAATGAGGCATGGTAGGCAAGGTGAAGTATGGGTGGAGAGTAAAGAAATCTGTCATACTGAAGGGTTAAAGATTAAAATTGATTATAAATTCCAATGTGATATTCATTTTAACATTCAGTTCAGAAGATGATGTGACCACATGTGGGTGACAGTTAAATACATTCTCTGCCTATAATTTCACATTATGTTGACCAAAACTTTTGCATATTTCTACTTTAGAGTTCTGGGTTGATCAAAAAGAAAAGATCTTGAATGGTTTATTAATGCAGAAAATATCAGCTATTAGTTGGTGTATTAGTCTGCTCTTGCACTACTAATAAAAACACACTGGAGACTGGGTAATTTATAAAGGAAAGAAGCTTAATTGACTCACAGTTCTGCAGGGCTGGGGAGGCCTCAGGAAACTTACAATCATGGTGGAAGGGGAAACAAACATGTTCTTTTTGTGTCAGCAGGAAGGAGAATTAGAGTGAAGAGGGGGAAAGTCCCTTATAAAACCATCAGATCTTGTGAGAACTTACTATCATGAGAAAAGTATGGAGGTAACCACCCCCATGATTGAATTATCTCCTACTGTGTCCTTCTCATGACACATGGGGATTATGGGAACTACAATTCATGATGAGATATGACTGGTGACTCAGTCAAACCATATCATTTAACCCCTGGCCCCTCCAAAATCTCATGTCCGCACAATTCAAAACATACTCGTGCCCTTCCAACAGTCGCCCAAAGTCTTAACTCACTTCATCATTAATTCAAAAGTCCAAGTCTAAAGTCTCATCTGACACAAGGCAGGTCCCTAATGCCTATGGGACTGTAAAATCAAAAGGAAGTTAATTACTTCCTGTATGCTATGGAGGTACAGGAATTTGGTAAATACACCCATTCTAAATGGGATAAGTTGGCCAAAACAAAGGGGCTACAGGCCTCATGCAAGTCTGAAATTCAATACGACAGATGTTAAATGTTACGGTTCCGAAATAATATCCTTTGACTCCATGTTTTCATATCCAGGTCACATTGATGCAAAAGGTGGCCTCCCACAGCCTTGGACAGGTCCATCCCTGTGGCTTTGCAGGGTAAAGTCCCCCTCCTGGCTGCCTTCACAGACTGACATTGAGTGTCTGTGACTTTTCCAGGTGCAAGGTGCAAGCTGTTGGTGGATCTACCATTTTGGGGTCTGGAGGATGCTGTCCCTCTTCTCAAAGCTCCACTAGGTAGTGCCCCAGTGGGGACTCTGTATGGGGGCTCCAATCCTACATTTTCTTTCTGCACTGCTCTAGCAAAGCTCTCCATGAGGGCTGCATTGCTGCAGCAAACTTCTGCCAGGACATCCATGCATTTCCATACATCCTCAGAAATCTAGGCAGAGGTTCCCAAACCTCAGTTCTTGTCTTCTGTGCACCCACAGTCCCAACATCACCTGTAAGCCAACAAGACTTAGGACTTGTACCCTCTGAAGCAATGGCCTGAGCTGTACATTAGCCACTTTTAGCCACAGCTGGAGCTGAAGCAGCTATGATGCAGGGGTCCATGTCCCAAGGCTACATAGAGTAGGGAGGCCCTGGCCCTGGCCCAGGAAACAATTTTTCCCTCCTAAGCCTCCAAGCCTGTGACAGGAGTGTCTTCCAGGAAGGTCTCTGATATGCCCTGAAGACATTTTCTCCACTGTCTTGGTGATTAACATTTGGTTTCTCATTACTTATGCAAATTTCTGCAGCTGGCTTGGATTTCTCCCCAGAAAATGGGATTTTCTTTTATTATCGCATCAATCAGGCTGCAAATTTTCCAAACTTTTATGCTCTGCTTCCTCTTGACACTTTGCTGCTTAGAAATTTATTCCCCCAGATACCTTAAATTATCTCTCTTAAGTTCAAAGTTCCACATATCTCTAGGTAAGTGGCAAAATGCTACCAGTCTCTTTCCACAGCAAGAGTGATCTTTACTCCAGTTCCCAACAAGTTTCTCATCCCCATCTGAGACCACCTCAGTCTGGACCTTAGTGTCCATATCACTATCAGCATTTTGGTCAAAGCCATTCAACATGTCTCTAGGAAGTTTCAAACTTTCCCACAATTTCCCTTCCTGTTCTGAGCCCTCCAAACTGTTTCAACCTCTGCCTATTACCCAGTTCTAAAGTTGCTTCCACATTGTTGGGTACCTTTATAGCATCACCCCACCCCCAGTACCAATTTACTGTATTAGTCTGTTCTCAAGCTGCTTAATAAAGATATATCTGAGACTGAGTAATTTATAAAGGAAAGACGTATAATTTACTCACAGCTCCACAGGGATAGGGAGGCCTCAGGAAACCTCCAATCATGATGGAAGGGAAGCAAACACCTCCGTCTTTCATGGTGGCAAGAAGGATAAGAATGAAAGTGAAAGGGTCAGGGGAGAAACCCCTTTTTAAAACCATCAGATCTCATAAGAACTAACTATCATGAGAACAGCATGGAGGTAACTTCCTCCATAATTCAGTTACCTCCCATTAGGTCCCTCCCACTACACATGGGAATTATGGGAACTGCAATTCATGCTGAGATTTGACTGGAGACACAGCCAAACCATATCAGTTCAGGAAGTAGCTAAGTAGCTATGATCTAAAATGGTTTATTTTGATTATTTTTCCTAAATAAGTGAATTTCTGTATGCAAAGCCCTTAATGGCAAAACTCATTAAACAACTATGTAATTTGTAGAAAGTATAAAAATTGAAATATTCTCTATGGAAACATTACTGTATGTTATTTTGCCATCAGTAATTTGTGAGTGACAGGCAAAAGATATAGAATGGAATTATGCAAAATATTCAAATAATCCAAAATAAGTTAGAGAAGATAGAAAAAGAGTACAAAAGTGGTTGATACAAATAAAAAGCAAATATAAAAAATAGTAGATCTAAATTGAAAAAAAAATTAAGACATAAATAATAAAGTTAAATATATAAGTTGTCTAAACAGCCCAATAAATTGCAGATTGTCAGATTGGACCAGAAAATAAAACACAACTCTATGCTGCCTACTCACAAACAACTTGAATTATAAATACACAAACAGATTAAAAGTTAAAGAATATAAAATAATGTATCATGTTCACACTAACTGAAAAAGGAAAAGTTTAGTGACTTTATTAGTATTAAACAAAGACTTCAGATAAAATAATTATAACAGCAAAAAGGTTACATCATATTGATAAAGTATTCAATTTATCAAAAACCCCCAATAATTCGAATCATTCACACATCTAATCATGGAGTTTTAGAACACCTTATCTTTTATTGTTTAGTTCATGTATCATATTAACATGAAATTTTTGATAATTACGCAATGGCTATAGAAGATGTTAACATTAGGTGGAGCAAGGTGAAGGGTGTATAGGAACTCTACATTTGTAAGTTTATTGATGTCCTTAAATTATTTTGAAATAATAAGTTTAAAAATGCCTTCCTGATTTCTACAATACACTATACCTGGTAGTCTATTTTGAAAAGAAATAAACAAATCCACCTGGTATAGTTTCAATAATTTGTAATGTTTTTTAGTTACTGGTAGAACAAAAAGACAAAAATCAGTAAGAATGCAGAAAGCTTGAACAGTGCTATCAAACATATTCCTAATTGACATTATAGAACACTGTATCTAACAACACTAGCCTACATAGTATTTTCAAAGAACATGAATATCTATCAAGAGAGACTGTATTCTAGATCACAGAAGTCTTAATACATATAAAATATTCAACTCACAAAGTTTATGTTCTCTGACAAGCATAGAATTCAATTAGAACTCAACAATAGAAACATATGTGGAAAGTGCCCAAATATTTGGAAACAAAAATAAAACACTTGTAATTAACATTCTAAATAATACTTGGACCAAAGGAAAATAGAATGAAAAATTAGAGACAAGAAGTGTCTCAAATCAATATTTTGTTTTCCATTTAAGAAAATAAAAAAAAAGAAGAAATGGAGGTCAATGTTTAGAAAGAGAGAAAAATTTTGAAAAAATCACAGCAGAAACTAGTAAAGCATAAGACAGAAAAAGAGTAGAAAAAATGAAGGAAGCTAAAAGGTGAATTTGAAGATCAGAAATTGATAAAGCCATAGCCTGACTGATTAGGTACAAACAGAAAAATGTCATGTTACCAATATCAGAAGTGAGAGAGCAATATCACTACAGTCTGCAGATATTAAAGGATACTATGGAAAAGTTATGAACAACTATAGTTTAATACATTCTAAAAATTTGAAATGTCTCAAATTAATATTTTTAATTTTTCATTTGAGAAAATTAAAAAAGAAGGAATGAAGGTTAATGTTTAGAAAAAGAGAAATAAACTTTAAAAATATCAGAGTAGAAACTAGTAAATATAAGACAGAAAAAAATGGAAAAAATGAAGGAAGCCAAATGGCAGATCTGATGATCAAAAATGGATAAAGCCCCAGCCTGACAGATTAGGTATAAAGAGAAAAATCTCATATTACCAATATCAGAAGTTAGAGAGTCAATATCACCATAGAGTCTACAGATATTAAAGGATACTATGTTAAAGTTATGAACAACTATAGTTTAATACATTATAAAAACTTGATGATTTTGATGAACCATTTTTTTGAAAGACACAAATGATCAAAGTTGTTTCCTTTGTAACTGTGTAACTCCCTACCAAATAGTTTGAATATGTACTTAAAAATCTTTTCATGGAGAAAACTTCAGGCTCAGATGGCATCAATGGTAAGTCCTACCAAACGCTTAATTATAAATAAAATGAAGACACACGTGCTTTTACAAAAATGTCAAGAGGTAGGAATATCTCCCAACACATTTTATGAGGCTATAATTACTCTGACAACAAAACCAGTTCATGATACCATAATAAAAGATCATTACAACTCAAAATCAGTCCTGAAAGCCGAGGCAGCAGTTATTCCTAAGGAGGTAGCAATGAATTACTACAATATACTTTTTAAAAATTAGGAATTCCAATTTCTAAAATTATCTTAGTGTTCATCATTACCATTCTCATAATAAAATAAAATTGAACAAACCGAAGAGCAGCAACTCATTTTATACCCACCAGATAACTGAAGTTATAGGGAAAATCACTGCTCTGCAAAGTGAAATTATATATGGATACTGACAATTACAGATTACTAGAAGCAGAATCACAGGAGTAGAGCCTCAGGGGCAGAAGACAACTGGAGATAATACCGGTAGAAATATTCAAGTTGCAACTGAACCATTTCTAGCAATCTATTGTGGACTAACTTGAGAGTTAAAAACACTGGAGGCCTAACTTTTAGGGACAGTGGGGCAGGAGAGGGGAGAGCACATTTCTCTGAGTTTTACCTCCAGCAGTTTCATCAGGTTCTCAGGGTGAAGAACAACAACATCAAAACAATCCTCTCTCGCTTCTGGCAGCAGAAGAGAAAAGACAACCATTTCAATATATGTCTACGACATTCTCTTCTCCTTTAAAAGGAACTGCTCTTAAAATAAAGCATTTTCACCACAGTTTAACCTACTAGGGTTTTACCGGTGCCTAACTAGCCTGGGGTGAGGAAAATATCCGACTTCATTCCTGCCTTTTATGTGGGGAAAGAAAACAGCCAATTCTAGCTCCATCTAGCTTTTGATGTAAATGAAGGTATACAGATAACCTAAGCCCCCTCTATCCTCCTTGTCTCACCTAAGGAAGAAAAAAACAAAGCTGAAAAGCACTTGTGAAAGTTACAACACCATGATGCAGGCTCACTAAAAGACTGAGACTCAACGGAAACATAGAATGTTTCCTTTCCCTGGCCAGGTACGGTGTCTCATGCCTGTAATCCCAGCACTTTGGGAGGCCGAGGCGGGCGGATAATGAGGTCAGGAGATCGAGACCATCGTGGTGAAACCCTAAAAATACAAAAAATTAGCCGGACGTGGTGGCGGGCGCCTGTAGTCCCAGCTACTTGGGAGGCTGAAGCAGGAGAATGGCGTGAACCTGGGAGGTGGAGCTTGCAGTGAGCCGAGATCATGCCACTGCACCCCAGCCTGGGTGACAGAGCGAGACTCTGTCTCAAAAAAAAAAAAAAAAAAAAGAATACTTCCTTTCCCTCCATACCTTGCTACCACATTAAATCAAGCACCTGTATTATAACAGTGGATTATAGCTAAAAGAACTGTAAAACTAAGATCCTATTTAAGAAAGAGTTTCTAGGGAAACTCAAAGACAATAAGGAAGACCAAAGAGGGCATTGGAGGAAGTTGAAGCATCTGAGACATACAGGTCGGAGACATACAGGTATAGCAAACATACAGACTAACTCATAAACCGATAAACATAAAACCTCATATTAAAAGATTACTTACCTCAGTTTCTTTTATCCAATCCCTGATGTCTGATTTTCAGCAAAAAATTACTGAATTTTTGTACAAAATTTTTACTGAATTTTTGGACAAAACTATCTTTGTCCTTTTGGGCTGCTGAAACAAAATATGATAGATTGGGTTGCTTATGAAGAACAGAAATGTATTTCTCACAGTTCTGGAGGCTGGGAATCCCAAGATCAAGGTGTTGGCAGACTTGGCACCTGCTGAGGAACTGCTTTCTGGCTTATAAAACAGTGCCTTCTAGCTGTGTCATCTATGGTAGAAGGCATGAATGTGCTCTGTTGGGCCAATTTTATGAAGACATTAAGCCCATTCATAATTTAATCACTTCCTAAAGGACCTCTCTTTCTAATACCATTGGGGACTAGGTTTCAACATATGAATTCTGAGGTGACACAAACATTCAGACCATGGCACATGCTAAAAGGCAAAAAGTTTGAAGAGACAAACAAGATACAAATATGTCAGAAGTTTTAGTATAATGAGACAGGGAATTTAAAATAACTATGATTAATATACTAAGGGCTCCAGTGGAAAGAAGTAAACAACACAAAGGTACAGATGGGTAATGTGAGCAGGAGAAAGAAACTACAGTAGACTCAAAAGGAAATGCTAGAAGTTAAAAATATAACAGACAGAAAGTGTTTGACGGGCTTTTCAATAGACAGGATACTTTTGAGAAAAGCAGTGATTTAGAAGTTATGTCAATAGAAACGTCTCTAACTGAAAAGTAAAGACAGTAAAAAGAAAACCGCCGGCCGGGCGCGGTGGCTCACGCCTGTAATCCCAGCACTTTGGGAGGCCGAGGCGGGCGGATCACGAGGTCAGGAGATCGAGACCATCCTGGCTAACACGGTGAAACCCCGTCTCTACTAAAAATACAAAAAATTAGCCGGGCGTAGTGGCGGGCGCCTGTAGTCCCAGCTACTCGGGAGGCTGAGGCAGGAGAATGGCGTGAACCCGAGAGGCGGAGCTTGCAGTGAGCCGAGATTGCGCCACTGCACTCCAGCCTGGGCGACAGAGCGAGACTCCGTCTCAAAAAAAAAAAAAAAAAAAGAAAACCGCCAAAAAAAAAAAAAAGGAACAAAATATGCAAGAACTGTGGGATCACAGTTTTTATAATCCCACAAGGATTATGGAGACATAATGGGAATACTAAAAGCAGAAAGAAAGGAACAGAAGAAACACTTGACATAATAATGACTTGGGATTTTTCAAAACTAAAGACAGACACTGAGCCACAGATTCAGGAAGCTCACAGAACACCCAGCAGGATAAATAGTAAGTAATCTATACCTACCCTTCAGTATCTTATCTGTAGAGAAACAAGGATAAGAATTAAACTGGATTTCTCTTAAAAACCCATATGACTAAAAAAGAGTCAAGTGAAATATTTAAAGTGTTGAAATAAAAAGAAACTAAGATTCTGTATTTAAGGAAAAATTATATTTCAAAAACTATGCCTGCTTCTAAAACTACCTCTGACTAAATTTATTTAGACCAGTCTGCGAAGCATTTATGCCCCAGAGCATTATTTAAAATAATATAGCAATCAGCCTGTAAATAGTTGAGCCTATGTGGCAGGTGTAATACCAAAGAGGTCCATGGCTTAAAACAGAAAAAAGAAAAAGAGACAATCAGAGGTAAACTTCCTGGCCAAAAAAACATTGTTATCTCAGCGTGACTGTGCCCAATCCCTAGGCTGAGCCCTCTGCGTAGCTACGCCAAAGGCTTCACACCACAGGCTTCATACTCTAGGTGTAATAGACATCAGTAATATATTTCATTCGTGTTTCTAAGAAAATAAACAAGCAAACAACAAAAAGTGGTAGTTAAGCTTGAGGATGCAAAGGCATAAGAGTGATACAATGGACTTTGGGGGCTTGGGAGAAAGGATGGGAATAGGGTGAGAAATAAAAGACTACAAATTCGGTACAGTATATACTGCTTGGGTGATGGGAGCACCAAAATCTCACAAATCACCACTAAAGAACTTACTTATGTAACCAAACACTACCTGTTCCCCAAAAGCCTATGGAAATTAAAAATAAAGAAAGAAAGAAAGAAAGAAAGAAATTGCGTCATACCATACAGCCCTAAGGAAAAAAACCTAAGGTTGGGACAGGGACTAGTATCCAGAGTTGGTACAACACTTTTCTTAAAATACCCAGTTTTTTTTGTTTGTTTGTTTTTTGAGAGGGAGTCTCATTCTGTCACCAGGCTGGAGTGCAGTGACGCGATCTCGGCTCACTGCACCCTTTGCCTCCTGGGTTCAAGTAATTCTCCTGCCTCAGCCTCCTGAGTGGCTGGGACTACAGGTGCCTGCCACCACGCCCTGCTAATTTTTTTGTATTTTTAGTAGAGATGGGATTTCACCGTGTTGGCCAGGATGGTCTTGATCTCTTGACCTCGTGATCTGCCCGCCTCAGCCTCCCAAAGTGCTGGAATTACAGGCGTGAGCCACCGCACCCAACCAAAATACCCAGTTTTTTTTTGTTTTTTTTGAGACAGAGTCTTGCTCTATCGCCCAGGCTGGAAAAAATACCCAAGTTTTAACAACAACAACAACAACAACAACAACAACAACATATTATGAAATATGTAAAGAAATAGGAAAGTATAACCCATACACAGAAAAAAAAATAGTATTCAACAGAAAAAATAACCAAATAAAAATTATGTGGTTAAAGTATACTACCTGGTAGAAAAGAAAGCAACATAAAAATAGATTTCAACAATACTATATACAAACTAGGCCTGTCACACATCTATAGAACTTTCTACTCAACAACAGGAGAATGCATATTTTTCCTAAGTGCACATGAACCATTCTCCAGGATGGACTATATGGAAGCCCATAAAGGAAGTCTCAATAAATCTAAATTAATTGAAATAATCAAATGTAAGCCATTTGTTCACAATTGAGTGAAATAAGAAATTGATAACAGGATATAACTTTAAAAATTCACAAATATAAGAAAATTAAAAAAGACTTTTAGATAACCAATTGGTCAAAGAAAAAAGATCACAGAAAAGTAAACAAACAAGCCAAAAATCTTTTGGATGAATTAAAATAAAAACATCAATATAGCTAAAGTAAAATATAGGTGGTAATGTATACCTAACATTGTCTATATTTAAAAAAAATAAAATATTTCAAATCACTACTTATTTTCACCTTAAAGACCCTGGAAAAAAAGACAAAAAGTAAGCAGAAAGTAATAATAAGGACTGAGCAGAAAGTAATAATAAGGACTGGAACAGAAATTAATAAAACAGAGTTTAGTAAAACAATAAAGAAAATCAGGAAACCCCAAGTCTGGTTATTTGAACTATCAGCAAAATTGACAAACCTCGATGAATCCCACTGGAATGACAAAAAATAAAAGAGAAAGCCCAGGCCTTGATGGCTTCACTGGTAAATTCTACCAAATGGTAAAAACAAAACAAAACAAACAAACAGACAAAAAAAAAAAACAAAACAGAAATTCTTCCAAAACCCTTCCAAAAAATGGAAGACAAAAACATTTTTCTGTTCATTCTTTGAGGCCAGTATTATCCTGATACCAATACCAAAGATATCATGAGAAAAGAAAGAAAGAAAGAAAGAAAGAAAGAAAGAAAGAAAGAAAGAAAGAAAGAAAAAAAAAAACGCAGACCAATATCCTTTAGAAATGTAATCAAAATAAATGCCCCACAAGATAATAGATACTAGCAAACTGAATAACCTTATAGAGAGATCGATCAATAAATAGAGAGATAGAGACAGAGATTTATGTACATATGTAATGCCACATTGGTTTAACATCTGAAAATCAATTAATATAAATAGAATACACCATGTAAATAGAATAACATGCAAAATCCATATGATCGTTTCAATAGATGCAGAAAACATTTGACACAATTCAACACACTTTCATGAGAAAGTGCTCAACAAATTAAAATTGAAAATAAAAATGAGATGCTCAATCTGATAAAGGACATGTATGAAAACCTAATGCTAACATCTTGTTTAATTGTGAAAGACTGTGTGCTTCCCCACTAAAATCAGAAACAATGCCATGAAGCCCAGTCTCTCTATCTCTATGCAACATTACACTGGAGGTGGTAGGGCAATTAAACAATGAAATAATAGAACATACATCTGCATTCAAAGCAAGAAGTGAAAGTATTTCTATTTTTAGGTCTATATAGGAAGCTTCAAGGATTTTACTAAGATCCTATAAGAACTAATAAATTTGGCCTCTTTGCAGAATACAAAATCGGTGTACAAATACCAACTGCATTTCTATACAATAGCAATTAACAAACTGAAAATGAAATTAAATCATTTCCATTGACAATAATATCAAAACAGAATAATTATTAAAGGAATACATTAACAAAAGAAATCCAAAAATATACTTGGAAAAGTACAAAGAATTGTTAAAAATAATTTTAAATATCCAAATAAAAAGAAAAAAAAATCTTAGGTTTCTGGATTAGAAAAATAAATATTGTTAAGACAGCAATTGACCTAAAAATTTAACACAATCTTTATCATAATTCCAGCTGGCCTCTTTTTAGAAATTAATAAGCTGATCTTAAAGTTCATATGGGAATTCAAAGGACCCAAAATAGCCAAAATAACCTTGAAAAGAAAGCACAAAGTTGAAGGACTCACATTTTCCTACTTTCAAACTTACTACAAAATTACACTAATTGTGACAGTGTGGTATTGGCATAAGAGTAGATATAGAGATCATTGTAATAATATTGATAGTCCAGAAATAAACCCTCACATTTATAGTCTTATTAACTTTTATCAAGAGTACCAAGCAAACTCCATGGCAGGTAGTCTTAGCAGATGGTATTGGGACAATTGGATATCCACATGCAAAAGGGATGGATTTATATGTCACATCATATTAAAAAATAACTTAAAAGTAGATAAAATATCTAAAAGGTAGGAATCAAAGTAGAAAACTCTTAGAAGACAACAAAAGCATAACTTTTATGGATTAAACAATTTATTTAGATATGACATCAAAAGAACAAGCAGCAAAAGATAAAAATAAATTGGACATCATCAAATTAAAAACTTTTGTGATTTAAAGAACATCATCAGGAGATTAGAAACTCACCCACAGAATGGGTGGAAAATTTTTGTAAATTATAACTTAGAAAAGACTTTTATCTACAATATATGAGGAGCTCTTTCAACTCAATAACAAAAAGGCAAATAATCCAGTTACAAAATGGGGAATTGATCTGAATAAACATTCTCCAAAGAAGAAATACAAATGGCCAATAAGTACAATAAGATGCTTAACATCATCAGGCATCAGGGAAATGCAAATTAAAATCTTAATGAGGTACCACTTCACACCCACTAAAATGGTGATAATGAAAAAGGGAGATAATTTCAATTGTTGGTAAGGATATGAACAAATTAAAACCCACTACACTACTGATACAAATGTGAAATGTTATAGACACTTTGGAAAGCAGATTGGCAACACTTGAAAAGGCTAAAAAATATAGAGATATTAACTGACCCACAATTCGATTCCTAGGTATGTACTCAGAAAAAATAAAAATTTATGTACACACAACTTTTCATGAATGTTCACAGCAGCATTAATCATAATGGGAGACTGAGGCTGGAGAACCTCTTGAACCCAGGAGGCAATGATTGAAGTAAGGTGAGATCACGCCACTTCACTCCAGCCTGGGTGGCAAGAGTGAAACTCATTTAAAAAAAAAAAAAGAGAGAGAGAGATTGCTTTTAAAGGCAAGACATTGTTTGAATTTTCCTTTTAAAATTAAGTGCCATTCTACTATTCTACATTTACTTTAATTTATTTACATTTACTTATTACATTTAATTATTATATCTACTTTAAAATATTGTGAATTCCTTAAGAGCAGAAGCTGTATTTTGTCAATTTATTAATCTTCAGCACATTGAACAATAAGTTGCACTTACTAGGTGATCTTCAAGTGTAGAATTAAACTGAAATAGATGTTCTCAAACATTATAAGTAATAATACCTATAGATAATGTATATTTGTTTACTCAAAAAGAAAAGTGTGTTTTTTATTAATCTTTTGTCTTTCAGCTCTTAGTCCACCTCAATAATCTTGTATGTGAGCTGGGATGAAAGACTGCAAACCCCTCCTTGGTCTACTAGATCACAGTTAAGCTATGGCAAAGAGGATTACTTGGTCTGGAGAATGTAAAAAGGACTTGCTTCTACCTGCCAGCTTTATCACAGCACTATTTCTCCGTCCTAACAGGGATCCTTGATTCTAATAGTAGCATAGGGTTCCATTTTGCAGTTTTTTTCAACCTGATTTCCCTCACGATGGCCCATCAAAGTTCCCTCTGCCAGCCACCTAGTGCCCTACCGCCTTGAGTCTGAGGTTTCCAGATACTTTCCTCTAAGCCACAAAGTTTTAGTAATCCTAACTTCTGTTCATCCTTCCAATCCTAGGTGTAGAAACTGCTTCTTCAGTTATTGCAAAAATGCAATGTCCATTTTTGTTTATTTTGCTTTTTTCCCTTATAGTTTCTAATGCCCTGGTAAACAAGATATTTTATAAAATTTTCTCTATTAAAATAATCTTGACTGCTTTTGTGGATAACTTTGTCACTTGCAAAATTATCCCAAACTGGTTGCCAATATATGTAGTTAACCCAAATTATGCATTATCAACCAGAAACCACTGGGCTAACTTGGAGACTCCTTAGAGTTTATTTAAGTTAGGACCCTATTTTGCTTTGATCTTACAGATTTTGGTGGGAGGTGGGCTGGTCGTAGGGGGTGAAACAATGCTCACCAAGTAAGTGGAAAGATAAAAGTGCCACAGATGCTGGGCACAATGGCTCACACCTGTAATCTCAGCTCTTTGGGAAGCCGAGGAGGGCAGATTACTTGAGGTCAAGAGTTCAAGATTAGCCTGGCAAACATGGTGAAACCCTGTCTCTACAAAAAATACAAAAATTAGCAGGGTGTGGTAGCACACACCTGTAATCCCAGCTATTAGGGAGGCTGAGGCAGGAGAATTGCTTGAACCCAGGGGGTGGAGGTTGCAGTGAGCGGAGATTGTGCCACTGCACAACAGTCAGGGTGAAAGAGCAAGACACTATCTCCAAAATAAATAAATAAATAAAATAAAAAACAAAAAATACCCCAGATGAATTCAAAGAAGTATTATTTGATTTCAAAAAGAACCTGCCTCATGAACTTGGAGAGAGGATTTTTTTTTCTATTTACTTTTTGTTGTTGTTGTTGAAATTTTGTATTTTGGACCAATATCATCTTTTAGTGTGTAATGAGGAAATTGTGTTAGTGGACCACAATTTTTTATTCTAGCCGTATATTTCCAGGACTGTGAATACATACACATTTTCTAGTATTAAAACCAAATTTCTGTGATCTCCACTAGTTTTTTCTTTCTTTTTACTAGGCAAAAGTAAAAGCTATTTTATAGATTCCTGGACCACAGTACATGATATAGATTTAAGGTGAGAAACATTCAGTGAAGTCAAACAAAATTTATAGATACAAATATATAAAAAGTTATTAAATCACATATTACATTTCAATCACATATCCTTCCTTATACTTGTAAATCTTAGATAACCTATTATATAGAAATAATAATATTAAGCAGTAATTTTAATATCAGATGAGCTCTTTTTATATTTTTGTCTGTGATTATATATATTAAGTAGATACATATATAATTTATTTTCCTGTATATTTTTGCCTATATATGCTGTCTTAAAGTATATTCATATTTTGAGTATAATGTGGTATTTCTATATGTATAATCCTAGAAACATTGCATCTGCAAGAAATTGAATATTATAAAATTCTGATTATTAAGCTATAGCCTTTTCTGACATTTATGTGATAGTAAAGTATAATCTTATTTTTCTGAAGTTCGTATTATTTAATTCATTCAAAAATATTTACTGACATTGTGTAAGATGAAAATATTGCCAAAAAACACTGACTTTGATGGTTTAAAGAAAATCTTTAACTTGTTGCCCATAATAAAAATTGCATAATGCTAAAAGATGTTATATATAAACCATACCTATCAGAATAACAGATGCTGTATGTATAGATGGAGAGATAGAAATGCAGGGATGCACTTTTAACAGACATATCTTTCACATTTAGTATTTGTTTATTGATTTATTTTTTTTAATTCTGGCACTTAAATAATCATAATTTAAATCACAAATACTTCAGTGCTTTGCCAAACACTTTGTCTAATTGTCTTTTTCAGTTATTTGTTGTTGCATAATGAACTACATCAAATTTGAGTGGATTAAAATAACAGTAGTTTTAGTCATGACTCTGAAATTTGGAAAGGCCTTGAAAGGGAAAGCTGGTCTCTGCTACCCCAGTGCAGTTGGAAGACTGTTTGCTAGAATTATCTGATGTCTTGCTCACACACATGTTAAGGCTTGGAGTAGGACACCTCAAACAGCCAAGCCTTCTTGGGCATTTCTTTTTATCTCCATGGAGTCTCTTCCTGTGTCTCTCCAACATTGATTCTTTAAGGAAGCACAGGTTCTTGTTTTGTTTTGTTTTGGTTTTTATATTGGCTTGCATGTCCTGAGAGGAAAATTGTATCAACTTTTTTTTTTTTTTTTTTTTTTTTTACCTAAAACTTAGAAGTAATGCAGTATCACCTCTGCTGCATTCTACTCTATTAAAAGCAGCAGTTTCAAACACCATCAGAGGTTCAAGGGAGGGAAAATGGACTCCACCTCTAGAAGAGACTGCTAAGCTTCTGGAGCGTCATATGAGACTAAAAATGGTCTTATGGCGATTTTTGGAAAACAAAATGTATCACAAATGGGTCAAGTGTTAGAAACATTCACTATAAAATTATCCCAGAGACTCCTAGTCATAAGTGTTTTGAGCTTCTCTTATCCCAAAGCAATTCAATGAACTCCCATTAAAATATGGGATTACAGTATTTTAAATCTGTTTGTCTCTCCAGATAAACTCTATATTTCTTAAAGATAGAAATCATGCCTAATTTTTTAGTATGTGTGGGTGGCTGTGTATATATACATAAACATATGTCCATATTATTTGTCACACATAAGGTACTCAGTAAATGCATCTTGAAATGAATTGACTGTAATTGAACTATAGTGTTACAAACAGTGTTGGTCTTATTTTGTCTCATATGAAGGCAAGAGTTAGTAGATTGGTAAAGTTAGTGTGCCATGTTGGGTCCTCTAGGAAGAAGAAACATAAAGCGAATTGAATGTGAATGGGATTTGGTGTGAGTAATGCCTTCTAAAGTTAAAGGGAGGAAGGAGCAGAAGTTGGCAGGGAGTACTTTTACTTCAATGTAGATATGATAGTTGTGAAAAGAGAAGAGAAAGGGGACACATGGTAGTTGGGAGCAGCTGAGACTATAGCCTTTGTACCTCTAGTATTCCTGCTGAGCTTAGACATTGTCTGGGAGCAGCCCAAAGAGAATATGACCTCAGTGTTGCAGTAGATCCTGAAGGCGTGAAAGCTGGAGGCTATTGTCTGACTGTAAGTCTCAGAGTAGTTTCTCACTTGAAGGGAGGTCCAGTGGCACACCTTAAACGGCTTTTTTTTTTTTTTTGAGACAGAGTCTCTCTCTCTGCCACCTAGGATGGAGTGCAGTGGCATGATGCTGGCTCACTGCAACCTTTGCCTCCTGAGTTCAAGCCATTCTCCTGCCTCAGCCTCCCAAGTAGCTGGGACTACAGGTGTGCACCACCATGCCAGGATAATTTTTGTATTTTTAGTAGAGACAGGGTTTCACCATGTTGGCCAGGCTGGTCTCGAACTCCTGACCTCAGGTGATCTCCCACCTCAGCCTCCTAAAGTGCTGTGATTACAGGCGTAAGCCACCAAGCCCAGCCATGGCTGACTTCTTATATCCCTTGCACAGTACCAATCTACTCCACATATTTTTGGCAAGCAGTTCCTGCAGGTTTACTGAGACCTTCTCTTCAGAAAAGAAACCTAAAAGAGAGAACTTAGTTGGACAAATTATAGTCACTTCCTCTAATACAGGTCTCAGAACTGAATCAGGTAATCATCTTCTCCCTTCTCCATTATTCATTCTAAATATTCCCTTATTCTCGGAATTATCACCTCTTCGGGTTTTTGTTGTGGTGGTGGTTTTTGTGTGTGTGTGTGTGTGTGTGTTTGGTTTTTTAGTAGTGTGACCCAAACTTGTATTATGAGTGCCTAAGACTTAGATATTCTTATGCTTCTCAAGGTGAGGGTGACTGCATTTGCCTGTTCACTGCAACAATTAGGCAAGAGAGAATCAAATGTTACACAGACAAATCCCTGGGATTCTATCCTGACTTCCATTATGTGAAAACATCTGGATCCTCCTATGAATTCAGGTAAAAAAAGCAGGCTCCTCCTCTGAAGCTTGCCAAGATAGTGACTTCTTACCCACTGGTTCCTGGATCCAAAGAGCTCAAAGTGCTCAGATATTTCAGGGTTTTCTATTCTGTGCCATTGATCTATGTGTCTATTTTTATACCAGTACCATGCTGTTTTAGTTACTATAGCCTTGTAGTATAATTTGAAGTTAGGTAATGTGATGCAACTTTTGCCTCCCGAGTTCAAGCCATTCTCCCGCCTCAGCCTCCCAAGTAGCTGGGACTACAGGTGTGCACCACCATGCCCGGATATTTTTTGTATTTTTAGTAGAGACAGGCTGGCTTTGTTCTTTTTGCTTAAGATCGTTTTGGCTATCCAGGCTCTTTTTTTGGTGTCATATAAACTTTAGGATTTTTTCCCTAATTCTGTGAAGAATGGCATTGATAGTTTGGTCAGAACTGTGTTGTATCTGCAGATAGTTTTGGGCAATTGGGTAATTTTACTAATATTGATTTCTCTAATCCATGAGAATGGGATGTTTTTCCATTTGTTTGTGTCACCTATTAATCCTTTTATCAATGTTTTGTTGTTATCCTTGTAGACATCTTTCACTTTCTTGGATAAGTATATTCTTAGGTATATATTTAATGTGTGGCTATTGTAAATGAGATTGAGTTCTCGAAATGGTTCCCAGCTTGACTGTTACTGGAGACTCCATCTCAAAAAAAAAAAAAAAAAAAGAAATGCTATTGATTTTAGTGCAGTGGTATTGTATCCTTAAACTTGACTAAAGTCGTTTATGTCTAGGAGTCTTCCAGAGGAGTCGTTTTGGTTTTCTAAAGTCATTTCATCAGTAAACAGAGATAATTCAACTTCCTCTTTTACAATTTGGAAGCCACATACTTACAACCAACAGAGCTTTGGCAAAGTTAAAAAAGATAAACAATTGGGAAAGGACACTGTATTCAATAAGTGGTGCTGGGAAAATTGGCTAGCTATCTATCTGCAGAAGAATAAAACTGGACCTCTACCTCTCACCATATACAATAATTAACTCAAGATGGATAAATAACTTAAATGTAAGATTGGAAAATATAAAAGTACTATAAGGAAACCTAGACAAAACTCTTCTGGACATTGCCGTAAGGAAATAATTTCTGCTTAACATAAAAACAAATGCAATAGAAACAAAATTAGATAAATTAAACTTAATTAAGCTAAAAAGCTTCTGTACAGCAAAAGAAATAATCAGCAGAGTAAACAGAAACCCTAAAGAATGGGAGAAACATTTTTAAATTGTGCCTCCAGCACAGGACCAATATCCAGAATCTACAAGGAATTCAAACACATCAACAAAGAAAAGGTAAATGACCCCATTAGGAAATGAGCAGAGGACTTGAACAGATATTTCTCAAAAGAAAATATACAAGCAGCCAACAAATATATGAAAAAAAAGCTCACTATTACTGTTACTAATCAACAGGGAAATGCAAATGAAAACTGCAATGAGACATCATCCTACACCAGTCAGTATGATTATTGTTAAAAATCAAAAGCACCAGATTGTATCGAGGCTGTGGAGAAAAGGGTAGACCTATACACTATTAGAGGGAATGTAAATTAGCTCTGCCCCGGTGGAAAACAGTATAAAGATTTTTCAAAGAACCAAAAATAGTAGGACCATTCAACCCAGCATTCCTACTACTGGGTAACTAAAGAGAAAAAAATCATTGTATTAAAAAAAACACCTGTGTCTATGTTTATCATAGGACTATTCATAATAGCAAAGTCATGGAATCAACCTAAGTCCATCAAGAGTTGATGGTATAAAGTAAATATGGTATATATACACATGGAATTCTATTTTATCATAAAACACAATAAAATTATGTCCTTTGGAGCAACACTGATGGAGCTGAAGGCCATTATCCTTAGTGAAATAACTCTGAAAAAGAAAATCAAATACCACATGTTCTCACTTGTAAGTGGGAGCTAAACAATAGGTACACATGAGTATAAAGATGACAACAATAGACACTGTAGACTCCAAAGTGGGAAGATTAGGACATGATGAGGTTCAAAAATTATCTACTTGGTACAGTGGTTACTATAGGTACACTAGAAGCCCCAAATCCACCATTACACCACATATCCATATAACAAACTTGCACACGTACCCTCAAATCTACAATAAAACAAATTTAAAATAATAAAAAATCATGAAGTGCTAAGATAATAGCTGTAATCTGAACTTCAGTGGAACTCTTGGTATGTTACCAGGCAAGAATATGGCCTTTGTGGAAACCAGGACTCAACTAGAGTTTCACGGACAGGGACACAAAGTTCTCTAGCAGGTCATTGGTAGGGATGGTAAGTAGGCTACTTCTTCTTCCCATTTTGGTTACCAGAACCATGTATCCTTTCTATTGGGGAGGCACACTGTGTTTTAGTGTATGTATCCTAAGGTACAGTAATTTCTCCTTTTTTGATATTTGCTCTGAGCTAGCACTTCATCTGCATTGTCAATAAGACATCCCAATGAGTTATCAGGCTGTTTGCTTCTTTATAGTATGTCATGTGATACAATCAGTAGTTCACAGGTCATGGTCTCACTCTATGAAGTGTGTTTCTTGGTTGGATGCTATGGTCTATGAGATTTTATAGCTATTGGTAAGACATTTGGTAAGTGTGATGGTTAATACTGAGTGTCAACTCGATTGGATTAAAGGATGCAAAGTATTGTTCCTGGGTGTGTCTGTTGAGGGTGTTGCCAAAGGAGATTAAACATTTGAGTCAGTGGACTGGGAGAGGCAGATCCACTCTCAGTCTGGGTGAGCAACTTCTAATCAGCTGCCAGTGTGGCTAGGATGGAAGCAGAGAGGGCAACATGGAAGTACTAGACTGGTTGAGTCTTCTGGTCTCCATCTTTCCCCCATGTTGGAAGCTTCCTACCCTTGAACATCAGACTCCACGTTCTTTAGTTTTTGGATGCTTGGACCTATACCAGTTGTTTGCCAGGAACTCTCTGGCTTTTGGCTACAGACTGAAGGCTGCACTGTCGACTTCCCTACTTTTGAGGTGTTGGAACTCGGACTTGCTTCCTTGCTCCTCAGCTTGCAAATGGCCTATTGTGGGACTTCACTTTGTGATTATGTGAACCAATACTAATACTCCTTAATAAACTGCCTTTCATATATACATCTATCCTATTAGCCCTGTCTCTCTAGAGAACTCTGACTAATACAGCAAGCTCCCATTTAGTGATGCTAGATGAGACTTTACAGATAAGGAAAGAAAACCCAACCTCAGAAAATATATTTATCCCTGTGACCATGAACTCGTAGCTCTTCCAGTTCAGAAGACGACCAAAGTGATGAACTTACAACCAAATGGCTGTTTTCTTTCCATGAGTAATAGTGACAAACAAGGGGCTCAGTATGGGTCTCTGCTACTGACAAAACAGTCATTCATAGGAGAAAATAGCTACAATGGGCTCTGTAGGTGGAAATCTATGCTTTGGGGCCCAAGTGTGGCCTCTATATCTGTCACTGTGGCTGGATCATTCATGTGCTCATCATTCTAGTCTCGCTAATGATGAAGGCCGGTCGGTAGCAATGAGGCAATTCGTTTTATATACTTGGTATCTTATTGCATCTATAATAAACATGCATTAACATGTAATTGAAATGTTCATAATTCTTAATCCAATGTTATATTCTCATGTAAATGATTCTACTCTAGACTTCTTTGTCTTAGATCTTCTCATTTCAGAACGTGGAAGAAGTCTAAGCCATCAAGTGCAGTCCAGAGATCTGTATATATTCTCACCTTGGAGCACTTTTTTTTTGCACTATGATGAGTTCTATAGAGGACTGACATACATAAATCCTGTTTGGGCTTAATACTATATACAGCATTTTGATCTTATGATGGACTAATCCTTTGCCGATCTATCTTTATTACTTTGTAGGTCCAATAAAACTCGCCTTCTAAAGGAGCAGCCCCAAATTCCCAGGCATTTAGTAAGACAAAGTGAAGCAATTGTCTCTGTGAGAGGCCTAGACCTGTAATGTACCAGAGGCTGCTTCTTAAAAAGCATTTAATACACAAGTAAAGTGGAATTTTCAGCCCTACTTAAATCTGGCAGGCACCTATGTCACAGAGAATATGGGCAATAGCAGTATTCCTACTTGTAGAATACATTCACTCCAAAATGCAGGTAAGTTTGTGAGGCATTATGGTTTTTTTTTTTTTTGCAGTAGGTAATGCAAGGTACAGCAACGTATTTTTTACATTGGAGGAAATGTCTTGGCATGTTCTGCTTAATGGATCACTAAACATTTATAGAAGTTGCGGATCTTTTCATCTTAAAAGGTTTATCTGCTACCTTCTGGAGTATATGTAGCTTGCCCAAAGTGTCTGGCAAACTGGCCAACTCATGTATATCAGGCTTAATCAGCATGATGTCATTGATGTAATGGATTAATATGATGTTTGATGGATATTTCAGATAGTCTAAAGCACTTTGAAATATATTATGACAGATGGCAGGAGCGTTCACATAGGCCTGGGTACAACTGCATATGAATATTACTGTAGTATCCAGGTGGATATAAAATGGTTTGAATCTTCTTTCCTGATTGCAATGAAAATAAGTGTATTTGCCAAATAAATGACTGCATACTATGCATCTGATCTTGTATTAATCTCTAGAAACAATAAGTATGACTAGTATGACTGCTGCAACTGGGGCTACTTGTATGAGTTACAGTGATCTCCAAGAACCATCTGATTTCAGCAGAGGGCATACTAGTTAATTAAAGGGAGTTACAATTAGGACTACCATGCCTGAATCCTTTGGAACTTCAGGAATTGCACCATTGGCTGGGCATGGTGGCTCACACCTGTAATCCCAGCACTTTGGAAGGTGGAGGTGGGCGGATCACAAGGTCAGGAGATGGAGACCATCCTGGCTAACACAGTGAAACCCCGTCTCTACTAAAAATACAAAAAATTAGCCAGTCATGGTGGCAGGTGCCTGTAGTCCCAGCTACTCGGGAGGCTGAGTCAGGAGAATGGCGTGAACCCGGGAAGCAGAGCTTGCAGTGGTCCAAGATCATGCCGCTGCACTCCAGCCTGGGTGACAGAGTGAGACTCTGTCTAAAAAAAAAAAAAAAAAAAAAAAGAATTGCACCATTGTTTGAGTTTATTCTCTCTCTTTCTGCCACTGCTCCCTCAAGAAATGTTGTTCTGATTTACCGTCTTGGCTTGTAAGGGACAATTTTGGAGGCTTTCCTTTGAGCTTTCCTCAATTATAGCTCTACTTTTCAGGCCAAGGGCCCTATGTTGCAGTTACTGATTTTGTCTCAATTGTAACACTCAGGGAATGAAAAATGCCATGGATATTTATGTAAGCGTTTACTATCTTCCTTCTGCATATCTCCACTCAAATATGGGGTTTTAATGGCACTTTGAGCTTCCAGGTATAAATCCCAATTTATGACCCTATGTCCAAAAGTTCTCATACACCTGAGTGTTCACATTCACACAGTGTACAGTCACGTGGGTAAATGTCCATAGACCCTTATGGAGAAGAACTGAAGGAATGATTAAATGCTTGCTTAAGTCAGTGGATTCTGGACCCGAACATTGGCTAGTAACTGATGAAGAGGTCACAAGATTTTATTGGGAAAGCCACCCAAATACTCTTGTTTCTTCTGATTATAATTATTGAACAACATCTTTATTCATTATCTATTTTTCCCTTAGGAAACAATAACAGTAACATGTTCTTCTATTAACTAACTCATCAACTTGTTAATAAAGCTCCCTGTACTATCCCTTTGATCTGGCTGAACTTTACAGCAATGTTACTCCCTGGCTTTAAGAAATAACACCTGGCCTCTATCCCTCTAGCAATCCATAATTTCCTTCACTATTAACAGACAAGCTCTGTGGCTACATCTTCTACCATCATCACCACTAGTCTGTAGAAGAGAGTCACTTTTTAGCTAGACCAGTGTTACTTTTGCCAGTACAATTATTAAGACTTTGGCTAAAGGTGAAGGGCTCTGGGTCTTTCCATGCAATAATGTCCTTTAGCAGTTCCTCTGACCTTACATTATGTAATCATTTTATGAACACACCCCTGAGTCCTTTTATTTCTTTTATCTACCATCTGCCACAGTAACTGAGGTACTTCAACTTTACTTAATATAAGCCATCAGCTTCTCCAAGGTTTTATCTCCAGCTTTATTGAAACATTTTTATTTAATTTACAAATAAAAATTGCATATATTTAAGGCATACAACTTGATATTTTTATATACATATACACTGTGAAATGATTAACGTAGTCTAGCTAATTACTACATCCATCATCTCTCCTTTTCTTTCTTTTTTGTGAGACGAAAACTAAAATCTTTTACCTTAGCAAATTTCAAGTTTATAATACAGTATTAACTATAGCCACATTGTTGTACATTAAATTACCATGAATTATTCATCTTGCATAACTGAAACTTTGTACCTTTTGACCAGTCTCTTTTCATTTCTCCTGCCCCCAATCCATGATAACGAGCATTTTACTCTTTCTATGAGTTTTACTATTTTAGATTTCACATGTAAGTGAAATCAGGCAGTATTTATCCACCTTAAAAAAGAAGAAAATTCTGCCATTTATGAAAACATGGATGAGCCTGGAGGACATTAAACTAAGTGAAATAAACCAGGCACAAAAAGACAAATATGATCTCCGGGTTTTAAAAAGTCACCCCAGCAACTAGTTTGCATAATCCCCTGGGATCCCTGCCAGGGTATTAAATCTTGTGTTCCATAAAAGTGACCCTAAGTCAATGAATTCTTACCTATTTAGTTTACATTCCAGAGCCCTTGAAATAGAGCAGTAGTGTCCAAGTTGTATTGCTGAACCACTGTAAAAACCAGCAAGGTCAGAGCAGCAACCAAGGGGGCTTTTACTGACAGAAGATTGAAGAGTTATTTAATAAAACATGGTGTTGCTAGGAATAAAATCCAGTATCAGGCCTACTCCCTTGGATCCTGTTACATGCTAGCTCATTTTTGCAGCTCTTTAGGGTTGTAATTTTCTTCCTCTTATATCAGACTTTGCATATTACCAGACTGGTTATGATGGGATTTAACTATAATTATCAGCCCAGATTAGCTCCTGAGGGTTCACCTATTAGCTTTGCAGGTGAATATCTCTGCAGAGTTTTCTCAAATAAATATACTAGCTCTTTACAGGGTAGATGGGCTACCTCTGTAGGTTTTGAGGGTTCAGAGGAGTCTGAGAAGGTCTAATGATCTTCTCAGGAAATCCACCCTGATGACTGTTAGTCATTACTTCCCTGTATTAGGTAAAAGATTTTCCTTGGCTGAGAATTGTGTTCTCAGTGGGACAGCTCTATGGCCTCCATATTAGGTTGCATTGTAGTAAAAGGTTGCTCTCTTGGTCAAGATGCATTCATATTAAAGATTCAATATTATTTACCTTAAAAGTTTACATGTACACATAAAAAATACACAGTCACATATTTCAAGGTTCATGAAAAAAATAACTAAGGATTGATGGGCACTGGTGAATTTAAATTTTCAGATTATGTGCCTAAGGAGAAGTTTTCCTTTTTCTCTTCTCCCCACAGAAGACCATGATTTTCCCAGGCATAATTTTAATCTATTTATTGTTTGATAGAAGAAAAAATAGAATTAATGCTACAAGTTTAATGCATCAAAAGAACACCTATGACCAGATTAATAGATTGAATAAAATAGTGTTTTCATTTTTGTAGTTTTTTAAAAAAATTATTTCTCTTTACTTTAGATTCATGGGGTACATGTCCAGGTTTGTTACAAGGGTATGTTGTGTGATGTTGATGTTTGGCCTTCTATTTACCCTGTCACCCAAACAGTGAACATAGGACCCAACACTATATCCAGCTTCTTCAGCCATTGTGCTTCTCCATCCCTTCCCACACTTGGAGTCCTCAGTGTCTACTGTTCCCATCTGTATGTCATGAGAACCTAACATTTAGGTTCTCACTTGTAAGTGAGAACATGTAATATTTGGTTTTCTGTTTAGGTGTTAATTCATTCAGGATAATGTTCTCCAGATGCATCCATGTTGCTGCAAAGAACATGATTTCATTCTTTTCTATGGGTGCATACTATTCCATGGTATATACATACCACATTTTTAAAATTCAAATCCACCATTAACAGACACTTAGGCTGATTCTATGTCTCTGCTCTTGTGAATAGTGCTGTGAAAAAATATACAAATGTAGGTGTCTTTTTAATATAATGGTTTATTATCTTTTGAGTATATATCCAGTAGTGGGATTTTTGAGTTGAAAAGTAGTTATACTTTCAGTTCTTGGAGAAATCACCAAACTGCTTTCCCCTGGGGCTGAACCAAATTACGTTACCACCAACGGTGTATAAGTGTTCCTTTTTCTATGCAGCCTCACCAGCATGTTTTAGTTTTTGACTTTTTAATAGCCATTCTGACTGGTATGAGATGGTGTCTCCCTGTGGTTTTGATTTGCATTTCTCTGATGATTGGTGATGATGAGCAGTTTTTCAGGTTTATTGGCCACATATATGTTTTCTTTTAAGAAGTGTCTGTTCATATTCTTTACCCATTTTTTATTGGGGTTATTTGTTTTGTTGTTGTTGATTTGTTTACATTCCTTATGGATTGTGAATATTAGACCATTGTTGGATTAATGTTTTGCAAATATTTTCTTGCATCCTGTAGGTTGATTATTTATTCTATTGATAGTATCTTTTGCCACACAGCTCTTTAATTTTATTAGGTTTCGCTTGTTAATTTTTTGTTATTGTTGCAATTGCTTTTAAAGACTTAGCCATAAATTATTTGCCAAGACTGATATTAAGAAGGGTATTTCCAAGGTTTTTTTTTCTAGGATTCTCATAGTTTGAGGTCTTACATTTAGATGATTAATTCATCTTGAGTTAATTTTTGTATGTTGTCAGAGGTAGGAGTCCAGTTTCTTCCTTCTGGATATCATTAGCCAGTTTTTCCAGCGGAATTTATTGAATAGAGGATTTTTTCCCAATTATTGAATTTTGTCAACTTTGTCAAAGGTCAGTTGATTGTAGGTGTGTGGCTTTATTTCTGGGTTCTCTAATTCATTCCAGTGATCTATGTGTCTATTTTTGTACTAGTACCATGATGTTTTGGTTATACCATACCTTGAATTCAGGTAATGTGATTCCTTCATCTTTGCTCTTTTTGCTTAAGATTGCTTTGGATATTTGGGCTCTTTCTAGTTTCATATAAATTTTAGAGTACTTTTTTCTAATTCTGTAAAAAATGCTGTTGGTAATTTAATAGAAATACTTTTGAATGAATTGATTGCTCTGGGCAGTATGGACACTTTAGCAATATTGATTTTTTCAATCTTTGAGCATGGAATGGTTTTCCATTTTTTTGTGTCATCTATCATTTCTTTCAGCAGTGTTCTGCAGTTCTCTTTGTAGAGATCTTTCACCTTCTTGATCTTGGTTAAATGTATTTCTATGAGTTTTTTGTTTGTTTGTTTGTTTTTGCTATTATAATGCAATCATGTTCTTGATTTGTCTCTCATCTTAAATGTTACTGACGTTTAGAAATGCTATTGACTTTTGCACATTGATTTTGTATCCTGAAACTTTGCTGAAGTTATTTATCAGGTCTAGGAGTCTTTTGACAAAGTTTTTAGGCTTGTCTAGGTATCGAATCATATCACCAGTGAAGACAGATAATTTGACTTCCTCTTTTTCTTTTCGGATGTCTAGTTCTTTCCCTTGCCTGATTTTGCTCTAGGATTTCTGGTATTATGCTGAATAGGAGTGCTGAGAGTGTAAATCCTTTTCTTCATCCAGTTCTTAGGAGGAATGCTATAACTTTTCCCCATTTAGTATAATGTTGGCTGTGGGTTTGTCAGATGGCTCTTATTATTTGAGGTATGTCCCTCTGATGCTTAGTCACTTGAGGGTTTTTATCATGAAGAGATTTTGGATTTTATCAAATGCTTTTTCTTCATCTATTGAGATGCTCGTATGTTTTTTTTTAATTTTAATTCTGTTTATGTGGTGACTCACATTTATTGATTTGCATATGTTCAACTAATCTTGCATGCCAGAAATAAAGCCCACTTGATTATGGTGAATTAACATTCTGATGTGCTGCTAGATTTAGTTTGCTAGTATTTTCTTGAAGTTTTTTGCATCTGTGCTTACCAAGGATATTGGCCTATAGTTTTCTTTTTTTGTTGTGGCTTTGCCAGATTTTGGTGTCAGGAAGATAGTGGTTTCAAAGAATGAGTTAGAGAGGAATTCTTCATCCTCATTTTTTGGAATAGTTTCAGTAGGGTTAGTATCAACTCTTCTTTGTATGTCTATTAGAATTTGGCCGTGAATCCATCTCATCTATAGTTTTGTTTTGGTTGGCAACTGTTTTTATTGCTGATTTAATTTTGGAACTCATAGGTATATTCTGGGTTTCAATTTCTTCCTGATTCAATCTTAGAAGTCTGTTTCTTTCCAGGAATTTATTCATTTCTTCTAGATTTTCTAGTTTGTGTGCATAGAGGTGTTCATAATAGTTTTGGAAGATATTTTGTATTTCTGTGGGATCATTTGCAATGTCACCTTTGTCATTTCTGATTGTGCTTATTTGGATTTTCGTCTCAGTTTCATTTAGTCCTGCTCTGACTTAATTATTCATTTCCTTCTGCTATCTTTGGAATTAGCTTTTTCTTGTTTATCTAGTTCCTTTAGTTATGATGGTATAATGTTACCTCTCTAACTTCTTGACATGGGTGTTTAGTGTTGTAAATGTTCTTAACACTGCTTTTGCTGCATACAAGAGGTTGCATATGTAGTGTCTCTATTTTCGTATTTCATGGATTTTTAGAATTTCGGCTTTTATTTTGTTGCTTATCCAAAAGTCATTCAGGAGCAAGTTGTTTAGTTTCCATGTAATTGTGTGGTTTTGAGAGCTCCTCTGGGTATTAATTTCTATTTTTATTCCACTGTGGTCCAAAGAGATGTTCAGCATAATTTTGATTTTTTGAATGTATTGAAACTTGATTTATGACTGAGCATGTGGTAAGTCTTAGAGTACGCTCTGTATGCAGATGAGAAGAATGTACATTATGTGATTGTTGGATGGACTATTCTTATTCTATAGATGTCTATTAGGTACAATTGATCTAGCATGAAATTTGAGTCCAGAATTTCTTTGTTGGTTTTCTGCCATCAGAATCTTTCTAATACTGTCAGTGGGGTGTTTAAGTTTTCAACTATTATTGTGTGTCTGTGTAAGTCTTTTCCTGGACTTAAAGTAATTGTTTTATGAATCTGGTTGTTCCAATATTGAATGAGTATATTTAGGATAGTTAAATCTTCTTGGTGAACTGAATCATTTATCTTTATTTAATGCTCCTTTTGGCTTTTAAAAAACTATTATTCGTTTAAAATATGTTTTATCTGATACAAGAATAGTGATCCTGCTTCCTTCTTTTCCCATTCAAGTTATACATCTTTATGATTTTATCTTGAGCCTATAAGAGTCGTTACATATGAGATGGGTCTCTCAAAGAGGGCAGAAGGATCAGTCTTTTTTTCTTAATCCCATTTGTCACTCTATGTTATTTTAGTGGAGAATTTAGACAATTTACTTTCAAAATTAATATTGATATGTGAGGTTTTAGTCCTGTCTTAGTGTTGTTTGCTAATTGCTTTCTAGTCTTGGTTGTGCAGTAGCTTTATAGAGTCTGTGGGCTGTGTGCTATACATGTGCTTTTCTGGCAACAAGTTTCATTCTTTCATTTCATGTTTAGAATGCCCTTAAGCAACTCTTGTATGGGCTGTTTGGTGGTAATGAATTCCCTTAGTGATAGTTTCCCTGGGAAAGACTTTATTTCTCCTTTGCTTATGAAGGTTAGTTTGGTGGGATAGGACATTCTTGGCTTTTATTTCTTTCCTTCAATAATGCTAAAGATGGGCCTCCAATCTATTCTGACTTGTACAGTTTCGGCTAAGAAGCCCACTGTTAGTCTGATGGATTTTCCTTTATAGGTAATATGGTCCTTTTCTTTAGCTGTCTTTAAGATTTTTTTCTTTCATACTGACCTTGGATAGTCTGATGACGCTGTGTCTTGGGGATGGTTGTCTTGCATATTATCCCACAGTAGTTCTCTGTATTTCTGTATCTTTCTGTCAACCTCTCTACCAAGATAGGGGAAATTTTCCTGAATTTTATCCTCACGTATGTTTTTCAATTTGATTTCTTTCTCTTCTCTCTTAGGAATTCCAATACATCATAGATTTGTTTGCCCCATCTAATCCCATATTTCTCTAAGGCTTTTTTTTTTAAATTATGTGTTTTTTTGTTTGTTTGTTTTTTGTTTTTGTTTTTGTTTTTTTGTTCTAACTGTGTTGATTTTAAGGACCATTCTTGGAGCTCTTAAATTCTTTTGTCTGTTTGGTCTAGTCTGTTGTTAAGGTTTCCAATTGCATTTTGAAATTCCTGTAAGGAATTTTTCAGTTCCAGAAGTTCTGTTCAGTTCTGTCTTCATATAGTTGTGTCATCTTTCAAATCCTGGATTTTTTTCCCATTTCCTTTGGGTTGGATTACAACTTTGTCTTGGATTTCATTTATTATTCTTGCCATCCATATCCTAAGTTTTATATATGTCATTTAGATATTTTATTCTGGTTAGGATTCATTGTTAGGGAGCTATTGGGATCCTTTGGAGGTGACAAAACACTCTGGCTTTTTGTATTGTTGGAGTTCTTGCACTGATTCTTTCTCAATCAAGGGAACTGGTGCTTCCTTTTTGAATTTGCCATTGCTTTGATTTTTTATTGTTTATTCTTTCTTCCCTCAAGGGCATGACTCCGGTGTATTTTGTGAATGATCAATTGGCATTATTTCTGAGTGCTTTTACAGATACAGAGCTCTGTGCAGGGTCCTCGGTTTCAGATGGCTTTCTCAAGATTGCTTGGTGTAGTGGTGGTATAATTCAGTCTGACTTCCAGTAGACGGCGCTTCAGAGTAAGAGCTGGCAGGTAGGCTCTTACTTGGCTGGCCTTCTGCAGTGGTGGAGTAAATAGAGAAGCACGAAAAATATTCTTCCCCAGCTACGTTGGTCTTTGGCAAGGGTGAAACCGCTGGAGAAGCCTGGGAAGCACCTCTTTCAGCCCATGCTCTCTGGGCCCCAATGGAAGAACTGCTGCTGTCTTCAGCAGTTAGTTACCGGGAGGGGGCAAGAGATGACTCCCGACTACAAGTCCTTACTGTGGCTTTGTTGTTTTCTCTGTCAAAGACTGGCACCACATTCACATTTCCTTTGACCCAAGGGTGGCTTTGTCAGGCTGTGCTGCCCTCTTCTTAGTGGCAGTCCACACCAAAGGTTAGATATCTAAGAGAGTAGAGTTCACCTCCTACCCCCTTCTTAGAGCCGATGGGACACTATCCCCAAACTGACCAAGGGGGTGGACTGGGCACTCCACAGTGAAACACACAGACTGGATCCAGGTTGATAAGCTGTCACTAGTAACAAGCCATTCCACTCAGAAGAAACCTAAGTTTCAGCAAATTTACTTCTGTTCAAGTTCTGCGATGGGAGAGAGCGTAATTCCAGCACCTGCTGCTGTGGTGCTCTCCACATTCACTGCTCAGTTCTGACTGTGGGGCTCTTACCCTACTCCAGAGCAAGCACTCCAATCTCCAGCCTTAGACTGGCCAGGCCAATGTCTGCAGTGGCCATGGTTGTCAGGTTGTCAAACAATGACTGACTTTTTTGAGCTCTGATTAAAGATTGCATCTTCCTCTCAGTTCTGGGTCTGAGAAAATGCCTGAACTTTTTCCAGTGTCTTTTCTTCTCTGTGTCTCTTTGTCTCTCCCCAAGCTATCTCCTGGGCTTGGTAGAAACAGATACTCTCCCTTGGCCCGGGTTGCAAAGATCACTACTGAAAAGGTGATAGACAGAGGAAGACTAGCTGCCCCTCTCACATATTGAGGCTTCACCCACTTTATCAGCCAAACATCATCGTGAGGGCTACTTGCACACCTTCTCCTCCCGTGTTTGACGTGTCCTTCACTCTTCCTGTGAATTCCCATTTTCCTTTTTGATTTAAAGCTCACAGAGTTGAACTTGACGCACTGTTTTGCTATTTCTAAGTGGCTGAGGCATGCTGACGACCTCTAATCTGTCATCTTGGAAACAAACAAACAAAATAACCCAAAACTCTGTAGTGTATTTTAATAGTGATTTGTTTTCAGTATCCAGTGATATAAGTTTAACTTATTGGAAATCATTTACATGGAATAGTTAATCACTGATTTACAGAAATTAGGAGTACTTAAGGAGTTGAAACATAATGCCTACTGATATTTTGCATGCCAAAATTTCTGAGAAATTTGTGTCTGCAATGTTCTCCTTTCTTTGGCAAAATGTAAGTTCCCATTAGTTAGGAAGTACCTATTTTTTATTTCTTTAATCATATAAAATATTAATTGGTAAATATATGATTTACTAATATAATAGAATGACATGTATTTAAAATCATATGAACAGCTTTGAAATATTATCATTAACAGAAAATCATATTGTTATATGGGTCATTTGACTCACTTGTTTATAAATTTGTTTACTACATCATAAATATAATCCGATTAAAACTGAACACTAAAAAACACGAACATGAAACATTCCTAGAGATATAAACATAATCCAATTATACTGATATCATTATAATGCAAATATCTCTTGTTATAGCATTATAATATAATTTAATTATATAGATTTCAAAACTGAATGTTTCTTAAGTTGGCTGGTATAAAGTTAAAAATAAAGAAACCGAAGGGAAAAAACCAAATGAATCAGCAAATTTGGATGAATTAGACTTAATTGAGCCATCAGTTGATCGATTTCTCTGAGAGACTTGCATTTCCTTCCCTTATTTTGCAGCACTATTGATGGCTTATTAGATGTTAGTAGAAAAAAACTATACCTTATTTATTATAAAATAATATATTTTTCAACTATATAAAATATTTATTTTTAAATTACATATTTTATTGCTAGCACTAAATTTGATAGGCTACAGAAAACCAGACATGCAAAAATTAAACAATAGTGCTTTCTTCAAATAAAATAAAATTTAAAACTATTTTTCTTTATTCAATAGTACATAAAATCAAACCTCCCTACCTCATCCCCATATAGTTAAGAGTATTTTTATCTATGAAATTATTTTCTGTAATGTCAATCACATTTTGACTAAAATAAAAATTACAGAATTTAGATGGATAGAAAACAGGACATTCATATAAATTTATCTCTAGGATTGTTTAATGTTCATGTTTTTTGGTGTCCATTTTTAATTCTAATCAAAATAATTGTATAATTTTAGGTGAGACCAATAATAGGCTATGACAAAAATAATAGATTGTAATATTATTGAAATGTTAATACCTAATTTCATGGTATGAGTAAATGGAGAATTTAATTTATAGTTAGGTGGTCCAGCTTATTTCAGGTCAGAAAAAAAAAGATGATTAATAGCAATAATTTTTGTCATGAAAACATCAAATGCATGTGGGATGGTTTATCTCTAGGATTGTTTAATGTTCATGTTTTTTAGTGTCCATTTTTAATTCTAATCAAAATAATTCCATAATTTTAGGTGAGACCAATAATAGGCTATGACAAAAATAATAATAATGTTATTGAAATGTTAATATCTATTTTCATGGTATGAGTAAATAGAGAATTTAGTTTATAGTTAGGTGATCCAGTTTATTTATGGTCAGAAAAAAAAAAAGATCATGAAGAGCAATAATTTTTGTCATGAAAACATCAAATGCAGGTGGGATGGTTTTAAGTTTTAGAAACTTCCAACTTATTTGCAAAGACCCATTTACAAGCTGATTTGTATTTATATGTACACTCTTTTTGTGCAAAAGTTTTAAGGCTGCTGGCTTATCATAAAAGTTATAGAAAATGAGATAGTAAAACAAAAATAGAAAATCATAGTCAAAGGAGAAAATAGCACACTCACACAACATACATCTCAATGCCTTTTTTATGCATGAGCTTCAAATGTGTCTCTAAGTTTTACAGAAAAAAGACACAAAAGGATAACTTAAGCAGTTATCTAGTTTTCATTTTTTGTAGAGACGATGAATACCAGCTCATTAGGAGAAAAACTATCATTGAAATTTTGAATGGTATTTTTCATCTGCAGCATTATGTAAAGGAAGAGTGATGTAAGGATAGGGTATATCCTTAATACTTCCAGAAAATGTATATCATCTTCACCTAGTATTTTTTATTTTCTTCTAACAATATTAGGTAAATGTTGAGAAAATGACATTAATATGTAAATACATAAAGAGCATGACTCTGTTACTCCTTACTGATCTGTTGTAGGAGCATAGAGAAACTTAAGGCCTGGAAAACTTTTAGTTTTGTAAATACTGGTTAATAATTTTTGGTGTGTGAAGGATCCAGAATGCTGAGCTATTTATTTTAAGATAGGGGAAAAGTCAGTGTTAGACCAGACTGACTATTATAAAGAAATGTCAGATTTATTTATTTGATTCCTCTGAGACATGTACCCTGTTAACAATTACAGACCTGCAGGTAATTTACTTGATTTCCTTGGAACATTTTATAACTTGTTTTTAAATTACAGATACAGATATAAGAAAGAAGGTAATGGTTCAGATGAAGAGACAGGTAAATTGTGAGAATGGAAGGAGTGAGTGATAAGAAAAGAGAAGAAAAATAAACTAAGGCAAGGAGTAAAATGAGCAAAGACTAAAGAAAAATAGAGTTTGATAGCAAGTGAAGAGAAAAACAGTAAAAAAAACAAATAAATGAACAGTATGATTCATGTTTCACTTACTACTGTATTTCCAATGTACTGAGCAAATTCAGAGTAAATTTTATACCTAAACTTTCTAAGATAACTATCCCTGAAACAGTAGAAATAGGTCCAATAGACTTTAGATATTGCAATCATCAGACATAAACATAAAATAAATATGTTCAGTACAGCTGAAGTATTAGTATATAAGATTAAAATTCTGAGAATAGAGCATGAATATTTTTTAAATGAAATAAAAAAACAATGGTGCAAAGTTTAAAAATCAATGATAGATTAGCTAGCAGCTTAGACACAGTTAAAGAAAAAATTAACACATTTATGATAGATAAAATAAATTGTATAGAATTCAGTTCACAAAAACAGAAAATATGGAAGAAGTTTACATGAAGGATAGTGTGATATATTTTAACATGTCTCAAATCAGCTTTAAACAGGGATATAGAAAAGGAAAGAAGTAATGCTCAAAAAGATAATGGTTGATTTTTTTTCATTTTTGTTAAAAAAGGTATTAATCTTAAAATCCAGAGGCACTCAAAAGATCCAAGTCATCCAACGCTGGTATCTAAGGACAAAGGAAAACATATATATCCTCACCAGTCATTTGTATCATCCTATATTTCCCATTTACTCTTTTGTGAGGTCACTCCACTCTCCTGGTCTCTAGGTAATGCTCTCTATCATTGCTGCTTCCAATAAAACTGTTGACAGCTATTGTAATTTGTGGCCTTTTATCTGGATGTAGTCTGGGCCCACTAGTCTTCCAGTCTATCCCCTCTGCTTCTCCCTGGTTCTGCAAATACCATTTTTCTTAGGTAAGTCTTCTATTAATATATAGTTCCTAGTTAAGTTGTACATTCCACAAATTCTGACTCCAGGTCTTCTCATTTCTAACTTCACTATCATTTGAAGATCAGCTCTCTCTCTCTCTCCCATATCCCAGCTATGTTTTACCTTTCTTCTGAGAAACTGGATTCCTTGGGAAAAAATGAGAAGCCAGAATCTCTTAATCAGTCTCTGCCTAAATGTGCCCTTCTTGCATTTTTATAATGCCAAAGTTACACTGTGTTGGTGTAGGTTCCCAGGATTTCACTGGGAAATAATGTCAAGTCTCTTCATATTGGCTTTCTTCTCATTTTCTTTGGCCTATAATGTCTCACACCCCTTGTTTCTAGGAAGTACAAACAAGGTCTAGAAAGGGAGAGCCTACATATGTGAGGTAATTAACTAAAGCTCCATTATTCAGTCTCATTGTTAGAGAGGTTGCAAAGAGAAAAATAAGCTGATTCCCAAGAGAAAAACATAAGGAGGAATGTGACAAATATTTTCCATATGGGAGAAACATTAGCGAGTTCATTGTTCTCTCTTTGTTTCTTATTTATGTGTATATTTTACATAGCCTTCTTCTATTTGGAAGGTAACACAAATGAATTTCAAATTATCAGAACTTTCATAGGGATATGTATAATAATTGTTCCCCTATGAATGGAAGTCAGTCACTAATATGATATAAATTAAGGCAAATATTTTAGGGAAAATATATTTTAATTAACTCATACATTTTTATTATGTAATTCTTATACTTGATTCTTATACTTGGGTTCTTAATAAGTTACTAAGTGTTCTTCATAAATGTTTGATGTTTTCAGGAATTCATGAAATGGCATCTTGTTTACTTGATGTAAAATTTACTTATAATCTATTATTGATCTCAAAAAACAAAGAAAGAATATTTTATGCTATCTCAAACCTACAATATTTGTAGTTTATAAAATATTAACATATATATAACAATTTACATATTATTACATAAAATGAGGTTTATTCATCATAATAAATCAAATTACATGAAATTTATGAATTATTTTATAAAAACTAAGATATCATTAGTGGAAAAAACTTGGTAAAGTAATAATTCAAATATATGAGAGGCTAACCTTTTAGAAAACCTATGAAATTTAAAATTATTTAAAGTACTATTTATTAACACTTATAACCAGCGACTATTTTATGTATATCAAAATATTTTTATTTTTCAAGCATCTTAAGCTAATTATTGGGATAGAACATTCTAATCTCAGAGAAATTTTTTAGTTTTCATAAAAATCACATTTTTGTTATTAAAATTGAAATCCCTAATCCTGATCTGGCTTTGAGGTAATATTCATCGTTTTCCCATTTAACATTTTATCTTAATAAAAATGTATATGATGTCTGAAATATCACTTACTAAATTCTAAGCAGTGTAATTTTATTACAAATAATAAGTAGTTAGAACTTAAAATAACTGATACATTCTTATCAGCTTCAAGAAACCTTATAACAAAACTAAAGTCCTATAATTTCAGATATAACCCCCCTTTCCAGCAACAACAACAAAAATATCATTAAAGTTTTACCACTGGTTTATTCTCTACATAATGAATGGATACTTTACAAGAAACATTTTGCCAACTACAAATTATGACTTCTTTTCATCAGGAGTAGGGCATTATAAGGGAGAAGGGTGTGAAAACGTGATGGGAGTATTGGAAAAGAGAATGAATACAATGGGTAAGGAAGATAATACAATACAATTTTGTAAGTGATATTTTATTATGAACATTCCCACAATTCAGTAGCTCTTGACATATTTTTCTTTATAGTAATAAAGCCACAGATTCTTGTTTTTACAGAGCTTTGTAATTCTTTTGATTCTCCTTCTGAGAAGATTCCTGCTTGTATGGCAAAATGAATGTTTATAGTCTGAATAACTACACAAGGTGACTGTATTGAGACTAACATCTACTTACTATAGCCTCTGTTCTCAGGAATGCCAAAAATATTCTACTTTAAAATAATAAAAAGGCAATTTTTAGTGTACAACACTAGAGATCCATATCAACTATCTGATATATTTGAAAGTTTAAAAATGCAAAAAATAATGATTATTGTGATCAGTTCTCGTGAGGAACTTTATGATGACACTGGGGATGAGATGCTTATTTTCTCCAATAGTATTATTCTCTTTGTGTGTGTGTGTGTGTGTGTGTGACTGTGTGTGTTTGTGTGTGTGTGTATCTCTCCCTCTCTTCCCTAAGCTATGATTTTCATTTAGATATGTCGTTTTGTGTTTCCAATTTCAATGGAAATGTGTTCCAAATGAATGGCCTGTAGGTTTAGAGATTGACTTTAAATACATCTAGTTTAATCTCTAATTTAAAATTTAAAATTTTATGAATTAATTGTATATACAACCTCAAAATGAATCATATTTAGCAAAGAAATTTCTTGTGTTCATCTGCATTTGATTTGCAGACTATCTGATTGATAGATAATATATACTTTTTAAAAATTATGCATGTATGAAACATCATCTAAATTCCTCAAAGAATTCAAAATAATGAAATAATGTAATAGATTCTCTATTTTTAAGCAATTCTATTATAAAGAATTAAGTATTTCTTAATTCTTTATAAGCCATGTATCATATCTTGTCTCTTTATTAGATTTCTTATAGTTTCTTAAATCTTAAATTGTGGAAATTATAACATTAACTAATGTAAGATCTCAAGTCAATTGTTTAATTCTAAATTTAGTGGAGAATATTGGCACATAGAAAACATAAATTTTATTTACTATGTTCAAACACATTTTTTTGAACTCAGAAAGATTTTATCTGAAAAAATTGTAACACCCTTTGCACAATAAATTTTAAGTGGATAAGTAAAATATTTAAATATATCAGATAATGTGGATGAAGGTAAGTTTAATTTTTAATATTCAACTTTTGTTCTTAATTAACTTATAAGTATTCCTTTTGTTTCTTAGATAAATATGTCAAACCTAAGAAACTTTTAAAATGTGCTTATAGTTGGATTAAGGCCTGTCAAAATTACTATTTTGTGTCTAATGTTTTTATTTGCCCTCACTCATACTAGAAACTACCATTAATAATGGGAAGTACTGCATTTATATAATACAGATTATAAAGGTTATTAATTGGATTCCCAACCTTTTGTATACATATGTCACAATCCAGAATATTCATCTCTTTAAATAAAATATTATTTTAAGATTCAATACTGCATATTCACTGTGATAATGAATATGCACTGACAAAAGCTCCTTATTTTGTAACAAGCATATGATTATAAAATATTTTAAGAGTATATTATACACATAACCATATAAAAAGACTATATGTTTGCTATCTATGTATTCAATTCTGACTTTTCTTAGGAACAGATAAATTAGGAGGTCCAGTAACAATTTTCCCTTTGGTTTTAGTCTCCCTTGCAATTAGTTATGGCCAAAAGAGTAAGCCTTGGCCACTGATGTATGGAGATAAGTGATGTAAGCCTTTTTCAGGATTATTCTAACACAACTTGACACATCTCGTACTCTATACTGAGTTTGCAGTTCCCCCTTCCTGCTGAATTGAGGATGACTCTCGGGGAGATATTGGAAAACAAACTTAAATAAGAAGCATATTCTTCATTCATGAGACAACGAATCCACAAAGGGCGATATATCAAGCAGCACAAACCTCTTCCCACCAACAATTAGAATTTAGTGAAAAATAAAATTATATTAAGCTTTTGATATTTTGGTGTTATCTGTTATGGGGGCTAGTGTTAACCTAACACGAATAAAAATTATAAATTGTTTACCTTATGTGTATCTACGCTCCTTTCATGTTTTACGGTTTCAACGGACATTCCTTATTTGATCAATTATTCTAGAAGGGGTAGCTATTTTGTGTTATGACCTTATCTAAGAATAGAGATAGTAGGGACATAGTTAACTATGAATGTAATCATTTTTGGAGTGGTGGATGTAGTTGTAATTTTTATTTTTCTCATATGTTGACTAAATGGGTTACAATAGAGGAACATAAAAAAGCAACATTTACTGAACACCTATTATGTGAGGATTCTATGTGCCATTTGGTTAGCCTGATATTAAACACTTATTATTTTGTTTCATTCTCATAGAAATCCACTTACATGTGAATAACCTGAGGTTTCCAGAAACCTTAAATAACTTGTAAATGGAGGGCCAGAGTGGAGTTACATCGAAGAGTCAATTATATGGTCATTATAATCTATTCTGAAAACATAAAAGTTAAGGATACATAATACTATTTTACCATTGTTTTGTGGATTTTTAAAATGTGTTGTAATGATTTTGCTTGTAAAAATTTCCTTTCTTCCTTAGTTTTCTATTTTAACATATATAAAAGAGTTCTAGACATTTTCTTTTTCTTATGATATTTGTAAAATATCTGCTCTTTAAATATCTTGCTGCTTTCTGCAAAGCTTGACTGTTTTTAATTGCTGGCTGCCATTCTTCAGCTGATAAACAGTTTCAGCATCATTTAGCTTGGTAAGCATTTGAGTTTTATTTTTTATTTTTTTATTTTTGGTATTGCATAAAATGTGGAATTTGTAAAGCTCATTATGTAGAATGATTCATTTCATGGAAATTTCAATTTGCATTACTCATCTTTAATTTGCATCTAGCACCAGGACTTAAGAACATACACTGGATATACTCTGCAGGTCAGAGGATACATTTTCAGTGATCATTTTAAAAGCTTTAATTAATATGCACATGAATAATATTTTCTCTTCACAAAATAGTATCCTAAGGGAAATTGACTAAAGATAATATTGGTACTCAATTTCAATATCTAATTCCAGCTTAACACTTAATTTTTAGACAGCTATCTGTATGTGTACTTATTGTCTACATACAAGAGAAAGGACACCAATAAATATTTATTTGACAGTAATTCTGAAATTCATATAGAAGCCCTAAGGACCTTGGTTTCAGAGTCTATCCTTATTTTCCTACTCCACCCTCTTCCCATTACCATTTTGAATTATTAGGTTGTTCAATAAACAAGGCAAATGCTTGAAAGTTTGACACCAATCCATACTAATGACTGTGATTGCACATTGGAATCCACTTGAATTGATATTTCCTTTGTGTTGACATTACTCTACACAGCTTACAGGCTTGGCTGGTAAATTTTCAAGTAGGTCATTCTTCATCTGCATCTGTTTCAGTTTCTCTGTCATAATTAGAAAACAAAGAGAGAAGAGCAGACTCAGCAAACTGAACAAACTAATTAAAAGGCAAACATAGAGATTATTTTCCCCATTCATGTGAAATTACCAAATTTCTTTAAAAATTCAACTATTTTAATAAGAATATGAAACTATAAGAAAACAGATTTTTCAAAATTATCAAATGATCTCTGATTTTAATTTTCTTTGGTTATTATGAAGAAAGCTTTAAAGCAGTTTCATTCTCATGAAGAATTTAATTCTTATACATTTAAACATAACCAAGTTATTATAGTTCCCATAGAGATGCCAACTACTTACAAATTGTTAAATATTCACATACAGGTATACACCTTGATGAAATGTTATGCTTCAAAATAAACCAGTTAACATGAATGTGAGATCTGTCTGTGTATAAAGAGACAAGAAACTGAATTAGAAACTTTAATTTAGTCAAATAATTCAATAAATGTTTAATGAACATTTATTTTTATAATATACCATGTATTATATAAAAACAATTTCCTTTTATTTCTATTAGCTAAATATCTGCCCTGATTTATTTCATTGGTTTTACTTTGCAAGGATCTCAAATACGTGTACTGCATTTCAATTATGCTCTGCATGTATCATTTACTTCAAATCATGTTTGTCCTTTTAAATTTTTATTAAGATTATTTTCCCTTTTCATTCTCTACTTTATTTACTGTACTTGTTATGGTGTGCATTTTGTTCTTATTTTTTTCTTAAGTTAGCCTTTATTTCTGAAGTGGGTTTTTATTTATAAAATGGCTTTTTTTCCTAGTATTTTCTGATTTTTGTCAGTTCTTATTTTTTCTGCCTCTTATTATTTAGATGTCTAATTTCTGAGCAATCTTATTTTTTATCTTTGTTATTATTTTGATATATTGTTTTGTTAATTTATTTTTTTGCATTTTAAAAATTAGATGATCGTTTTTATATGATTTGTAGCCCCTATTCTTCTAATGTTTTTAGCTTTTCTTGTAAAAAAATTGATTAAATTTTATTCTTTCTCAGGATAACTTTGAATAAATCAATTTTCTTCCTCATGTTTGGATAATATTGGCTTCATGTGAAGAGAGTGGTAAAGCAAGGCTACTTCCCAAATTTTACAGCTTCAGTGTTTGCTTACCTGTTAGCACCATGAACAACTCAAAACGTGAACTTTCTGAGTAGCTAGCTACTTCAAGATCTATTAGTTTTACCCCCACTCCGAATATTTTGTGGTTGTTTTTATTGCCTTTTGTCGTATCTTGATGACATTGAAATCACAGAAGAATGAGCAAACAGAAAGGAACCAGAGTTGGTTCAGAGTGGAATGTTTTAATTAATAAGTGATATGGTTTGGCTTTGTCCCCTCCCAAATCTCATCTTGAATTCCCACGTGTTGTGGGAGGGACCCAGTGGGAGGTAATTGAATCATGGGGGGCAGGTCTTTCCCATGCTGTACTCATGATAGTGAATACGTCTCAGGAGATCTGATGGTCTTATAAGGGCTAGTTTCCCTGCACAAGCTCTCTCTTTACCTGCTGCCATCCATGTAAGATGTGACTTGCTCCTCCTTGCCTTCCACCATAATTCTGAGGCCTCTCCAGCCACGTGGAACCATAAGTGCATTAAACCTCTGTCTTTTGTAAATTGCCCAGTCTCAGGTGTATCTTTATCAACAACAAGAAAACAAACTTACACGATGATTTTGGAATTGGATTGCTTTTATATGTTGACAGAGTTCAAGGTCTGAGTATGGAAGTGGCTGAATTGAAGTGGAATAGAGAAGATGGTCAGTGGTGATAAACATAGTAGGAACCTGATTAGACAGATGAATTGATGGAATGTTTGGCTGCTCATACAAGTTGCACAAGTAACATAGCAAAGTTTGGAATTTAAATAAATAGTACAAGTCACATGGCATTATTTGATAAATTGTAGGCACTGGAGGTTCAATGAAGGGCAACAAAAAGGATCAGAGGAGAGCATGGCAGGGTCTGATTAAAATTTTGACATTAGCAATAATCTCTGAATACTATCTGCAGACATAATGGAAAGCATTGACCACAGAAATAAAAAAATCTGCAAAAATCAATACACAGAACATGATGGAAGTGCCGCCACTAAGTGGAGTTCTTAATAGCAAGCCATTCAGAGAAAGCATAGAGGTGGAGAGAATATTTACGTTAAAGATATGGGGGAATTTCTTTGTTACAGTGCTTAATTCTTAGAACACAACGGACAGGTTAGGAATTCAGGTAGCAAGAAAATTCCGAACTTTAAGGTGATAGATGGTAGATGGTCAGGGACACACATACTTTAGTATGAACTGGTGAAGACAGGAATAAATAGCGTGGAGAATTTAGTCTTTTTAAGGAGAGTGGATTCTGAGCCAAGCATCTGGAGGTCCTACTCCAATCTAAACTGATGATTAATAATGTATCTTGAAATATATACAACACTTTACTAATGTAGAACCTATGTAAGCTTAGACAGTTACCCAAATGGTATGAGCTTCAAGTTCTTCATTTAAAAATATGATAATAATATCTACCACATAGAATCATATTACGTCTTGATAATAAGTAGTTATATTATTATTACCTGGCACATAGAATGTGCTTATTAACATGTGTGTTTAAGTAGACCATTAGTCTTTCTTTTTTTATTCCATACATATTAAGACCTCACTCAAGTTATATGGAAATAGTGGGCTGTTTATGTGAAAAGACATGGCATTTTATTTTTATGCAAGTCTTTATTGTTCAGATTATAGGTACTAGGGAATATAGTTTTTGTTGTTTTTGTATTAAAAAGGGAATTCTATGTTGTGACCTGAAAGACTGAGGTGAATCTCATGTATCATTACTGTAAGGTGTCCATTAAAGTATATAATCAGAAACTTGATTATTTAATTGCTAAGGCATTCAGCATATGTATTGTCAAAATAATTGTGAGTATCTTTTTAGGATATGATCATCAAAAGGATCTTTTAGGATATGATCCAATGCAAGCAATTTTAGAAAATTTTACCAACTCTACTAACAAATGTCAAACAGTATAATCATGGGACTACATATGAAAAAAATAATAATAAATTAGTTTTCTAACTCAAATTTATTAACTCCCGTGTCAGTCTAGTTGAAATTTTCCAAGCAGAAATGCTAATATTAAATGTACTAGCTTTCCTACTGAAAGCCACTCAGGGCTCTCTTGCAACACTAGCATCAATTTTTAACAAGCACAGGCAGAATTTTTCATTATTTTGAGATGGGTAGCAGATGATCTACAAATGTTTTTCCAAATTTGCATACCTAGAGAAGTTTCAGTACAGTAATTTGTAAACAATGTTTATACATACAGTACTTTACAATACTTTGCATGATAACATCATTTATTCAGTTAAACTAATTGCATGGCTTTAGAACAAAGGTACTATAAGTGGGAGGAAACTGGGAAAACAGTATGAGAAATCACTCTCAATTGCAGAATAACTCATTTATCAAGCTGAACATCCAGTGCAAATAATGCAGAAACTTAGCAGAAGGTATTCTATATTCCACAGCACAAATTCCTTCCTTAATTACTAATTTTTCTCTCATGTTCATTGAAGTATTCCTCATTCCAGAAAATTATTTTTTATGACTCAGTCACATAAGCCTCAATTCTCATCAGATGTTTAAAATACAATTAATACATAATTGATTGAAATATAACTGCTGACTTCCAATTTATTTTGCATTGTGGACACATTTTCTTTTAAAAAAAATCTCCATTGCCTTATTTTTAAGTGGACAATTTTGTATTTATTTACATTAGGTTACAGGAAACCTTCTATATTTGCATTAAACCCTTATACACACACAGACATACACACTCACACACACACTTTTGAAATCTAAGTTCATATTTATGCAGAATCACTAGTAAATGTTGTGCCTGGTTAGATGAAAATTCTTATTGACATTCATTTTCTAATTTGAGACACGCTAAATTGCCAACATTACATAGTACCTAAAGTGACTAAGACTATGCATGTAAAGCACATAATGTTCTACGAATTCTAAATGAGGAATCAAGAGTCTAAGGATCTTGATCTCATTTTACCAATAACTATGCCATCCTGAACAGATTTTGTTTGTCTGGTAACTCAGTTTTCAAACTGGCAAAATAAGATGGTTGGAATAAATGATCTCTAAGATTGACCCAAACTTTGGAATATGTTTCTGTTTAGTGGGAAACCGGTTTGGTACACGGCATGATCTCATCACTTTGTATTGCTTCATCTAGTTATTAAAGATTTAGGGCTAAAAATTGCTTGTAAAAATGTGTAAATATAAGCATCTGTTGTTACTCACTCTGCCAAGGGAAAAAACTCAGTGTACAGAAATAAATTGTTTAAAATGCTGGATGTTTTCATCTAGATAAATCATTAAGTATTGAAATTTTTATTCCCAAGTTATCTTGAGAGATTTCACATACACTTAACCAGATAAAACTATGTTTCAAGTCCGGTTTCAAATTTTTTATATTAGAAATTTAACATACAATTTATACTAACATACTTTGGTGGATGAAATAAGAAAGAACAATCTATACTCTTTTCCAGTTGCTAATTCATAGAGGACTTATTTTTTAAACATATTTGCCTTACTATAAACGATGAAGAGTCTTGTTCCATGTTTCCCTTTTATCATTAATCTATAAATGAATTTAAATGACTTTGAAGTCTAAAGCTGGAAGTGTCAACATATTTTAACTTCGTCTATTATTTATTTATTTATTGTTGTATTTATTGTTTTATTTTCTTTTTCTTGTGCATTCCAATGGCTCATTTTGCCATAGGGTTAGTGTAAACATAAAGTTAGGCATTACTTAAAACTAAATAAAATACGAATTTGAACGTTGCTTTATTTCTTTCAATATCTTGATGAACAAGGAACTGACTTGATTCTAAGTATTACAGATTAACCCAGCCAGTGGAAATCTTGGCAAAGTTACTCATTAATTGTTCTGCCTGTATAATTCAGTTGCTTTAAGTATTATGTAATCATCTTTAAAAAACCAAAGAAGTCATTGTACGATTAAAAGGATGTTATATCTTTGTAAAGTGAACAGCGAAAAAATATCTCTGGCTATTTGTTTTATTTAACCCTAATTAAGAAATTAATAATTAGGCAAAAGTACAAAAGAACTACAGTATGTAGCCTCTGAAAGACAATCTACAAAGACAATCTACAAACAACATTAAACACTGTTACTTATTGAAGTTTAGTATTCCTTTCTGGCCTTTCTTGATTGTTGACTTTGAAGAACTTACACAGAACATGAAAGAATCAAAGTTAAAAACAAATTAAGAAACAATACCTTTGAGAAGTATATTTAATATTTATATATATACTTTTTTTTTGAGACGGAGTTTCACTCTTGTAGCCCAGGCTGGAGTGCAATGGCATGATCTCAGCTCACTGCACCCTCCACCTCCTGGGTTCAAGTGATTCTTCTGCCTCAGCCTCCTGAGTAGCTGGGATTACAGGCGCACACCACGACGCCTGGCTAATTTTGTATTTTTTTAGTAGAGATGAGGTTTTACCATGTTGGCCAGGCTGGTCTTGAACTCCTGACCTCAGGTGATCCACCCATCTTGGCTTCCCAAAGTGCTAGGATTACAGGCATTAGACACCACACCCTGCCTAATTTTAATAATGTTTTACATGAAAAAGTTATATTCAGTGTAAAATATACCATATCTTTTCTTTTTTGTGGATAATTAAATAAATTTGTCACAAGTAAAATATTATAAATCTAAATCGCAAAAATCTCAGCTTTGTATCATTCTGTAACTCTTGTTACCCAACCCAATCTCTACGTCATAAGTTAGCTATAGATATAATTAGGCTATTTCTTGTGAACCCTGTTAAAGATGCCTTTCTTCATCAAGACATTGATTGTTTCTTTTAATTAAAATCTTTATAAAAATATAAGATGTCAGTTAAGAAAGATAGAACTCACAATATAGAATAAACAAATATAGCTTGATAACTAGTTAATATAAGCATTTAGGCATACCTTTATGTCTTTCAACTAAAGTAGAAATAGCCCTGCTTTTAACTTTGAATGCATATCTAAAGCCACATACACACACACCTAAACAGTGACACTAAGAAACTTATGGCCTGGCACTCTTTGCTAGTTCCTACAGAATTGCCCCACATGTGAGATCAATAATGGTATAAAGGCTGTTCTCTATAGACTGAGGCTCAAGAGCGCAGAGATTTGATACAACTCAATATGTCCCCTGATGTAGTCAAGGTTTCAAGTTTTAAATATATCAGTTATTGTAGTTTACTAAGTTAGAAAGCTAACTCCAATTTCTCAAAATTTCTCAAAATTATTCCATGGTATTCTACACAGCACATGACTTTGAGGGATGTAGTAGTGTCCCAAAAGATTGACCAAAAATAAACTGCCAATTATTTTTAATTATAGCTACTGTTATGTCTTTATATTACTATAATTTGGGGTAGGAGTATGCATTCACAATGAGGAGCTAGGATTTTTGTAGAATGGAAGTCTCCAGCTCCACTTTTTGCTAATTCTGGCCTTGTTCAAAACTATAAATTTAGTAAATCATTGATTGCATTTTTATGTGTACATCTCAACTCATATTCTTCTGTAGAGAATTCTTTGTATTTTTGTTTGTTATTATCCAGAATTTTTTTTCTTAAAATATGGGAATATTCTACCTAAAATACCTTGGATTTCTTCTTCAGTGATTTTATTACAGCCATTACATAAGTAATAACAGAACATAAAATGCTAAAAGAATTTGAGATTTAACATTGTGTGATTGTGGACATGTTAAATATTCTGTCTCTGCAAAATGCTCCATGAAGTGTTCTGAAAATTTTTCTTTGCAGTGTCGGTGAGATTGTTTTACTGAAATCCTTTGATTTAGATAGGGAAAAGATGTCTTCTGGGATTTAAGATTTAATATTCACATTTAAACATTTCTCTGCACACATTAAAAGACTTGCATGGTTGCATTAAAAAACTCGCATGGTTACTGAATTCAAGTCAGTAATTTTAATTCTTAGGATAGTTCTTATGAAAATTACTTTGAAATTTTTAAATATTTAAACTAAAAGGATGCTCACTATGCTATTGATTACAAGAGTGAGGAATGATAGACAATTAGAATGTGAAACAGTAGTAACAAAGATATAGTTCATAAACATACATTAATGAAATACTATAGAATCATTAAATGTTAAATATTTGGAAAATATTTTGTCTATTATTAAGTAACCTAGTCCTTAGGCCATTTTATTGGTATGAAATATACATGCACAGAAATGGTGGAAAGTCTATGAAATACACATTTTAATTGGCTGCGGCAGATTAAAGATGGCCCCAAACTCTGACATTTCTCCCATTGAGTGATGGCATGTATTTCCCCTCCCCCTGAATCTGGGAACACTTTGGGCCTGCTTTGATTATAAAATATTTGATGATTATATATCTGTTTTCCATTCCAGACTTTAAGGTACTGGCAGCTTTTTCCATTTCTCTCTTTTTTTTTTTTTTTTTGGAAATCTTGCCTTGAGGGAGGTGGTCACCTGTCACCTGCTACGTTTATAGTCCAACTACCCTGACTACCCTGTTTTAAGGAAGCCCAACTAGCCATGGGGATACACTACATGAAGAGACAACACACACACACACAGAGAAAGAGAGAGAGAGAGAAGATGCTCAATTAGCCCTCAATATTTCCAGACATCCCAACAGGAGCAAGACATGTGGGTGAAGTAGGCTTTAGGTGATTCCAGACCCAACTACCGTATAACTGCATTGCATGAAGGACTCCAAGATAGAATCAGCCTGCTGACCCTGGTAACCCACAGAAGTATGAGACACAATGATAAAACACTGCTTCTAGCATCTAAGTTTGGATGTGTCTTCTTATGCAAAGATAGATAAATAAGTGTATGAATATTTACCTTTTAAAACATCAGTTCTTTCCAAATTCTCACAAAGTATTTGTTAATAGTAAATATATTATTTAAAACATCTCTTTAGTTATGAGAGAAGTTGATAGTTACAATATAATATTGCCTCACTTTGTTTTTTAAGTCTAACTCTGTCAGGCTTACTTCATGTCAGTTTTATGTATTGAAAACTGGACTCATTATAGACATAACTCAGAGTTGACATGATATTTCCTCTATGGCCACAAGCTATTCTAAGGGACTAGTTAAGGTTAGTGTTGACATGCCTTTGATTTTTTAAAAAAGTTCATATATAATTTTACTGTTTACTATTAGTGAATATATGAGAGACACTGATTAAAAAGGCAGTAAAATGATCTTTATGAAAACAACTAATTTGGTTCCAGATACTTTTCTAAGCACATTAAACATATTTAATTATTATAGACATCTGTTAACTTAAGTACTATTACTTCATTCATTTTACAAATCAAAAATTGGGGCTTAGAGTAATAAAGTAACTTGGAAAAGATCACACAACTCATACATAGTGATTTCAACTCATGAGGATGGACATTCTGCAGTTCATTAGCCTAATTTTGAATGCTGCTTAAATCTCTGTGTCTTACTTACTCATCTCTAAATAGGGAAAGTGACAATAATCTACCTCACAGGATTGATGTGAGGTATGAGAGCTTTGTAGGAATCTAACTGTAGCATTTTTCATTTGTGTACTATTGCAGGAAGGATTAAATTAGTTAGAATTAAAGCATGTAGAACAAATTCCAGGAGTAGATCCACAGCTGATAATGTTAATGAGAAAAAAATGCTTTAAATAGGATATCAGAAAGGTCCAGAAGAAGAAAATAGTACTTCAGTATTCACAATAATTGTTTCTTAAGTAATTGCAAGATAATACAACAGGAAAAATATTTTGAGCTAGTTACAGTGATAACTGAGCCCTAGATCAACCAGTTTCTAGCCATGTAAACTTCGAAAAGCCACTTCCCTTTTATATTATTTATTCACTTATAAACAAGACACAAAACCTACTTTCCCTACCTCACAGATTGATAATACAGAATATGTATGTGTATACACATACATGTACACACGCACACACTCTACATAATGTATATTATATACAATTATACATAATAGAGCAAATAATGAGAATATAAATATTCAAATATAAACATTTATAATAAATACATAATATAGTGTTTTAAATATAACTTAAATAGAATATATTTCTATAATATATAAAACAATAAAATATGTAGTAATCATATATGTTATACTAGACTTCATTTTATATATGGAATATTCTGAAGGTAGATATTTTATATAATTATTTATTTTTGTTATATTTATATATTGAATATTCTTAGAGGATAAACCACTATAGAAATATAAAGAATTATTCTAAGTTTTTACTGTAAATTTCAAGGAGTTAATCAGATTTACCTAGAGGAATACATGAGATAATTCCAAAAAAAAAGTAAAATCTGGAATACAAATTTTGAGAAAGACTAAATTTAAGTATACTTCTCTTTCAAATCACTCACTATTAGATTCCTTTATGCTTAAAATTAGCAGTGTAGAAGACTGTCAGAGTATATGAACAAGCTTTATTTCCATAGATAACTGTTAATATTTCTTTAGAGAGAATGCAATGTCAAGAATATTATGCAAGAGTGAATGGAATGTTCTCAGAATGAAATCAAGATACCTAGATTAGCCAGACTGTAGAATAATTATATTTTCCTGGCCCTTTTCACAATGCCAACTATATATTTATTCTGTACTATTTTTCCTGATTTTTTTTTCTGCTGAGACTTGTTAATTTATTACGTAAATTTTTAATGTACATTGTAATCCTGAAAATAAGACTCAGTAGTCATTGATGAGAGTTGCAGCACATGTCAACAATATCCAAAATATAAAATGCAACTTTTTACACATATTCTTAACAAACTTGTCTACTTAGTTTTATTGGAAGTAAGGATTGTTATAAAGTATTTAATAAGAAAAGTAATCTAAATAAGCACAGGGTGTGAGAAAATAGATACAAGATGAAGATGATATAAGATGGCTTAAAGGGCTGATTGCCAGGCAAATTGAATTTTATAACTACCAATTTATCATTAGAAAAGTGATTTTACATTGTTTACTTAAAGCTCCTACATCCAATTTTTACATTTATACGAAAATGGAATTTACATAATTTTTCCAAAAGTATTTATTGAATGCCAATCTTTGTAAGTTTTAAAATTGAATTTGTAGAGATTGCAGCAGCGTAGTGAGAGCAAACATGTACACGCTGCCTACCATAGAAGGCAGGATGTGGTATACTGGAGATATGCACAATGCCGCAAAAGAATGGTAGAGGAAGAGCTTCATTCCCACAGGAGAAAGCTTCACGTGGATGTGTCCTTAGCTGGCCCGGAGGGGGAAGCTGTGATTTATTTTTAGGTTGAGATGATGTCTTATTATTCTAGGTGTAGGCCAGAACATGGCTGAAGCCCAGTGCAGAGAAAATTATTGTCTTTTCAGGAAACAAAAGAACAGAGCAGAGAGTAAGAATGCTCTGAATAGTTTGTGGGCGTGGATGGAAATAGGGCGCAGAGAATAGGCCGGGTTGATGACTGCCAAAATAACACAGACTCTCAAACTAATCAATGTGTTAAAGCTCCTGTTCTAGATGTGAAACTTTCACTAAGCATTAGTTAATTAAAGCTACCAAACAGTTCATTAATCCTGATACAAAGTCCTGGGTGGAATCCTCCCTCCAAGTGGGAAAGAAAAGCAGTCACTCTAAGTAATTTTGTTCAGAACTCAAAGCAATTGAGCATTCTAATAGCTATTAATAAATACATTAATATATTTTTTAACCAACAAACTTCCTTTGTAATGTTATCTTTAAAAGAAGAAAACTTCATGTGTTTATTTTGGAGGGGACATAAAAATAATTATTTGAAGTAGAAAGTGTAAGTCCTGCAAATATGAAAATTAATGTTGCATATTGGTTTTTTGCTGCTTTATGAGAAGTGATATAGAAAATAATACATTTCTAATTTAGAATATTTTATTAACTAATATTTATCAGAGAAGATTGCTTTTCAGAAATAGTACAATACTTTAAAATGTATATTTAATACTCATATATATCTAAATTCATCATAAATGCATTGGGATTGTAAATGACAAAACACTGCAAAATACAAAACAGTTGCTTGTGTTTATAGTTAAGTGGAAGTATAACATAATGATTGTAAAGTGAAATCTATATATACATACATATGTATATGATTCCTATTTCTTTCTTGTTATACAAGAATTTCTTTACTTTGTAAAATTCAATTTTCAGATATTTGGGGTACAAGTACATGTTTGTTCATTGGTATATTGTATGATGCTGAGGTTTAGGGTACAGGTGATCTCATTATCCAGGTAGTGAGAATAGTAACGTATAGATAGTTTTTCAGCCCACATCCCCCTTCTCGCCCCTTCTAGTAGTCCCCAGTGTCTATCATTCTTATCTTCATGCCTACGTGTATTTGGTGTTTAACTGTCCTTTATAAGAGAGAAGATGTGGTATCTTATTTTCTGTTTCTGCATTAATTTGCTTACAGTAATGGCCTCCAGCTTTATCTGTGTTACTGCAAAGGACATGATTTCATTCTTTCTTATGGCTGCATAATATTTCATGGCATATATGTACCACTTTTTCTTTATCCATTCCACCATTGACAGGCACCTAGGTTGATTCCATGTCTTTCCTATGATTGTGAATAGCGCTGTGATGAACATACAAGTCAGTGCATGTGTCTTTTCGTTAGAATGATCTGTTTTCCTTTGGGTATAGACACAGTAATGGACTTCCTGGGTCAAATGGAAGCTCTGTTTTAGGTTCTTTAAGAAATCTCCAAAATGCTTTCCACAGTGGTTGAACTAATTTACATTCCCACCAAGAGTGAATAAGTGTTCCCTTTTCTCCACAGCTTTGTCAGCATGTGTTACTTTTTGACTTTTTAATAATAGTCATCCTGACTGGCATGAATGGTATCTCATTGTGGTTTAGATTTGCATTTCTCTGATGATTAGTGATGATGAGCATTTTTTCATGTTTTTGGCCACTGGTATGTCTTCTCTTGAGATGTGCTTGTTCATATCCTTTGTCCATTTTTTGATGGAGTTTTTTTTTTCTTGTTGATTTAAATTCCCTACGGATTCTGTGTCTCAGACCTTTATCAGATGCATAATTTGCGAGTATTTTCTCCCATAGTTTAGGTTATCTGTTTACTTTGTTGATAGATGTCTTTTGCTGTGTAGAAGTTCTTTAATTAGGTACCACTTGTTAATTTTTGTTTTTATTTCAATTGCTTTGAAGGAATTTGCCAGTAGTTCTTTGCCAAGGCCAATGTCAAGAAGAGTATTTTCCAGATTTTCTTCTAGGATTTATATAGTTAGAGATCTTACGTTGAAATCTTTAACCCATCTTGAGTTAATTATTGTGTATGGTAAAAGGTGAGTATCCAGTTTCTTTCTTCTGCCTATGGTTAGCCAATTATCTCAGCATCATTTATTAAATAGGAATTTCTTTCTTCATTGCTTGGATCAGGTGGTTGTAGGTGTATAGCTTTATTTCTGGGTACTCTATTTTGTCCCTTTGGTCTACATATTTGTTTTTATGCCACCACCACGCTGCTTGGATTACTTTAGCCTTGTAGTATACTTTGAAGTGGGGTAGTGTGATGCCTCCAGCTTTGTTCTTTTTGCTTAGGATTGTTTTGGCTACTCTGGCTCTTTTCTGGTTCCATATGAGTTTTAGAATACTTTTTTTATAATTCTGTGAGACATGATCTTAGTAGTTTGATAAGAAATAACATTTAATCTGTAGATTCTATTGTAGTTCTCCTTGTAGAGCCCTTTCACCTCCTTGGTTAGCCGCATTCCTAGGTATTTCATTTTCTTTGTGGCTGCTGTATATGGGACTGTATTCTTGATTTGACTCTCAGCTTGCACGTTATTGGTGTATAGAAATGCTACTAATTTCTGTGCATTGATTTTGTATCCTGAAATATTATTGAAATCATTTGTCAGTTCCAGGAACCTTTTGGCAGAGTCTTTAGGATTTTATAGATATAGAATCGTATCACCAGTGAAGACAGATATTTTGACTTCTGTTCTTCCTGTTTGGATGCCTTTTATTTATTTATCTTGCCTGATTGCTCAGGCTAGGATTTCCAGTACTATGTTGAATAGGAGTGGTGAGAGTGGGCACCCTTGCGTTGTTCCAGGCCTCAGGGGGAACAGCCCATCGTTTGCCTGTTCAGTATGATGTTGTCTGTGGGTTTGTCATAGATGGCTCTTATTGTTTTGAGGTATGGCCATTTGATACCTAGTCTGTTAAGGATTTTATCATGAAGGAATGTTGGATTTTATGAAAAGTTTTTCTGTGTCTATGGAGATTGTCATATGGTTTTGCTTTTAATTCTGTTTATGTGGCGAATGAGTTTTATTGATTTGCAAATGTCAACCCAGCTTTACATCCCAGGAATAAAGCCCAGTTGATCATGAAGAATTAGCTTTTTGATGTGTTGCTGGCTTCAGTTTGATCATATTTCATTGAGGATTTTTGCCTCTATGTTCGCCAGGGATACTGGCCTGAAGATTTCCTTTTTTGTTTTATCTCCACCAGATTTTGGTATCAGGCTGATGCTAGCTTCTTAGAATGAGTTAGAGAGGAGTTCCTGTTTATCAATTTTTTTAATCGTTTCAATATGATTGATACCAGTTATTCTTGGAACATCTGGTAGAATTCAGCTGTGAATCCATCTAGTCCAAGGCTTTTTTAGTTGGCAGTTTTTCTATTACTGATTCAATTTCAAAACTTGTTATTGTTTTTTCAAATTTTTTCTTTCAAATTTTTCTTTCAAATTTTTCTTTCAAATTTTTACTTTCTTCCTGGTTCAATGTTGAGATGTTGTGTGTTTCCAGAAATTTAT